>NC_000009.12:30010000-30161515 GCF_000001405.40 Homo sapiens
CCTCTCAAAGTGCTGGATTACAGGCGTGTGCCACCATGCCTGGCCTTAAATTGTCTTCTTACAAATTTTAATCTTCATAGAAATCGGTAATCAAAATCCTTAAGCAATGAAAAGCTGCTCAGCTGCTCATTTCTTATCCGTGCTAAAGATAGTCTAAAGTCCTAAAATCATTTGAAACTCTTAATTACACTACACACAACACAATGACAGTAAAAACTTATCTAAGAGATGACATGCATTTTGATATAGTTTATGTAGAATAAGTCTACATGCAGCTTTGCCTGAGGTTAACAAGGGATAAATCTTTTAAAAAGTCATTTTGTTAAAAATATGTTTATGTTTTCATGATCTTACATAAAATTGAATGTTACACTTCTGTAATATTTTATACCATGAAAAGATCAAAGAGAAGATACATAGCTTTTTTTAAAGCCAAGTTATCAAAGCACCGTAAGTCTAAGAAATTATCTTCTTTATGGTACTACATGAGTATTAGATTATTACACATTTTCTGGATTTACATGTCAACCATTTTAACATTTTCAGAAATTTCTATTACAGTTTTATGACAATTAGACTATAGGTCATTTGCACTATTTCATTTTTTTTTATCTAATAAGCGAACAATATTATCTTAACTTGACTTTTTCCCAGCTGGCAGGCAGTATACTTAAAGCACTGGAAGTTAAGTTTCCTCCTTCTTAGAATTCTCCAGAATTTCATGTCAGATTTAAATAAATCCTTAATAGTATCTATAATCCTATTAGAAAATTAGCTCCCTCACACTTGGGATATTTCGTCTGATTTGTTAATTCCTCCTTGAAGTAGACAACTTATGCCAACATGTTTCCTTTGAAAATATTCCACATCCATATGATGAAAGAATCTTATCAAACTCCCAGAAAAGCCTGGGGATTTTGAGGTTGCGTTTATGATATAAACCATTTCCTTTGGGGCTGATATTAACTACAAATCTTAGTTCAGGTACAGAATTGTAACCCAGAGAATCCTGGAGTAAAGAATTTGTGGTTAGATAGTGGGTTATGCAAAAGGCTTAACTCGAACTTCAGTGCTTTGCTATTGACACACAAAGATTTACATCAAATCTTGACTTGGTTCTTTGGTGTATGAGGCTTCCTCACTACTTACAAAGGAAAAAATAAAAAGTCAGGATCTCAGATATAAAGAATAAGACATTATGAAGATGTCAGACAAGTTAGACACAGATAGACGCCCCCTCTTCTGGCACCTATAGCTTAATATTTGAGACACATTTCAGCTCATTCCCACAGTTGTCATAGAAGCCAGCTAATGTTAGAAAGCAGCGCTCTGATCTTTAACTAGTGTAAAACTAATCTGAATTTACTAAGATATTTGCTTATATTTTTCCTTTTGTTGGTAGAATGGTGTGAGATGCATATATTCCTAGAATAGAAGCAAAGAAAGATCAAATAATCTCAAAAAGTATACCCAAATTGATCATCTGTTAATACTTAGAGTCATCATTATAAAAGATCATTGTAGTACAACGTTGTACTTATGTTAAAAATATCATATTGCACACTTAAAATTTTGTTAGATCTCGTGTGTTCTTATCAAAATAAAATAATTCATAAAAAAATCTAAAACCTTGAATACACAAACTTGAGATAATCTATGGATTTCTAATACAGAAGTTGATAAAGAAAGAATAAAGTCAAAAAAGAGCTAATAGTTCATTGTTTTCAGAAAGTAATTTTTATGAACCAAGTATCATAAAAATACATTTATTAGGTTGGTGCAAAAGTAATCGCTGTTTTTGCCATTGAAAGTAATGGCAAAACTGCGATTACTTCTGCATCAACCTAATGTGTTTTAGTATTAAACTCTACTTTTACAAAATTATTGATTTTCTAAATTAATACATATTTAAGCTAGATGACGACAAAACATAAATTTATGTTTTAATTATAAAAACATTTTTATCTTAATTGACAAGAATAATTAGTATAGGATCAAATATAACAGATGATGACATATAACTTTCAGGTTTGAAACGTTACAAAATAAGCTATACTAGAAATTTTTATATAATCTATAGAGCTCAAAAATTTTCTTTTATGTGACTTTTACAAGATATAACTCTTATTCTTGAGTATTCAAAAAATTATGATTTACATATAAAAAGATTAGGTGTGGTTAAACCAATAGTATTTTTATCTAAAAATATGTTAATATTTATTTAATAACCACATACATTTAGTATTTTGTCTTATTAACTTATTTACCAAGTAGGATACAGTATTTCTGAGATGAGTAATTTTATTAGTGATAAAATAAAACATATTAAAAATTTAGGAGGCCATTGTAATTGGCTATTTTGTTTTTTTTGTTTTAGTAATATTAGTTTTCTTGTTTAAAATTAAGCAGCAACATAGAGATTATTCAGCTTCAATTCTATAATTTAAGTCATAGGTTAAAAGCAAATGTATATTTTAACAACTGCTGTATTGTACACATACACAGACAAGACCATTTAAAAATTCCTTTTACAGCCAAACTAAAATACCATTGGTTGTGTAAAATGCAATCTGGAACAATTGTCTCAATTTTGCTGTTGACACTGGGCTGGAATCTTGGTCAAACTCCAGCCACTGTGACCTGTTCTAAACAGATGCTTCAATTACTAGATTCCTCAGTCCTGCAAAAATACCTACTAAAAGAAAGACATCCACCAACCTCTCAGCACTTTCCACTTGTTTTTTAAAAATATATATAAATACATATTTTATATAAAACACATAATATACATAAATCATATATTAATTCTTATATATTATATTACATTAAATTATATATAAAATATATATTTAAAATATATATTATGTGTATAATATATAAAATTTATATTATAAATAAAAATATAAAGTATATATCAAAATATTCTATATTTTTTGAAAAGGTAGACAAGTTGGCTGTGAGTCAGAAATAATTCAGAAACACACTTAGTAAAAACAAGATATTTTGTTGCACAGAGAGACTTCCCCAGAAAGCCAAAAAAATCATTGCTGAGAACAAGAGAAGAGTGAAATAAATTTCTCAGGCAATGCAACTCATTGAACTTCAGTGACTTAATTCTTGTGGGTATATTGCTGGAACCTTCATTTTAAATAAGAATAATAGAATTGAGAAATGTTTTGGGCACTGAATGAAAAATCATTATTGTTAGGGTTGTTTGTTATTTACAATAATTATAGTGCAAAAGAGTCTAGAATTCATAGAAATTAAATTTCTCTAAGAAAGAAGGAAGGCTGTGTTTATGATTCAATTGTCATAGACATTCAACAGTTCTGATTGGATAAAGTTGGGGTCAATTTTGAATTTTTAAAAAATCCAAAATTTCTGTATTTGATAATCAGCTTCTTGTCTTATCCAGAATGTAAAACTTTTAGGAGGACTGTGTTATTCATGGTATATATGTTGAATAGCAGGGCCTTTAGAAATATAAATCTTTTCTGTGCCAAAATAGTACTATGCTTCATTCAGACAATGGGGGAGGCCAAACTAAGTATTAATGGTTTTTTTTTATTGCAGTCATCATATCCTCAAGAGAACCATAAATTTTTAATAGTCACTGGTTTAATGGGAAAAAAGTTAGGGTTTTCAGTCAGACAGATTTCTATAATTCTAGGTTTATGGTTTTGCAAAAATGTAAATCTCCAGCATCCTTTTAATACTCTAACTTCAGGATGCAGGCATTTCCTCTCTACAGACTGGTTGAATTGATTGTTTGGTAGTTTTAATAACTTCTACCATGAATGTCACGTTTGCATTCCAACAGAGTTTCTATCTGTTTTTCTGCATTCAGTCACATAACTAAATCCTTCCAGTTAGTATTAACATTGAATTTTGCCACCTTTCAGAAGGTGGGTAAGCGAGGAAGTAGAAAAATTATTATCTTGGCCGGGCGCGGTGGCTCACACCTGTAATCCCAGCACTTTGGGAGGCCGAGGCGGGGGATCACGAGGTCAGGAGATCAAGACCATCCTGGCTAACACAGTGAAATCCCGTCTCTACTAAAAAACACAAAAAATTAGCCAGGCGTGGTGGCGGGCGCCTGTAGTCCCAGCTACGCGGGAGGCTGAGGCAGGAGAATGGCGTGAACCCAGGAGGCAGAGCTTGCAGTGAGCCGAGATTGTGCCACTGCACTCCAGCTTGGGCGACAGAGCGAGACTCCGTCTCAAAAAAAAAAAAAAATTATCATCTTGGTAGGTATTCCAACTTCGGTTACCTCTGCTATAATGCTGATTTTGAAACATGAATTTTTTCCAATAAGATTTATGTATCAGGAAACAGTTTGAGCGTAACCCTAATTTTACACCTGCTTATATGTAGCACCTGCTTATCACACAAATCACACACATCTAGGACATGTATTCACTTCAATTCACTAGGTCTATAATGAGTCACACCCATAGATTTGGTGTTATAAATTTCCAGCTGATTTCAGATAACCTCCACCAATTCACATAATTCACAAGTTCATAGAAGAAAAAATATGCAGCCCTCTTTTATATTTGTAAATTGTTTCAGTCTAATTTTCAGGTGATTTTATGTTAGCTGAGCTTATTCTTTTTGTTTTTTTGTTTTTGTTTTTGTTTTGAAGCTTCTCAATCCTATTTAATCAGAATTTTTATATACAGGTTTTATTTTTAAATTATATTTTAAGTTCTAGGGTACATGTGCACAACGTGCAGGTTTGTTACATATGTATGTATACATATGCTATGTTGGCCTGCTGCACCCATTAACTCGTCATTTACATTAGGTATATCTCCTAATGCTATCCTTCCCCCCTTCCCCCACCCCACAACAGGCCCCGGTGTGTGATGTTCCCCTTCCTGTGTCCAAGTGTTCTCATTGTTCAATTCCCACCTATGAGTGAGAACATGCGGTGTTTGGTTTTTTGTTCTTGCGATAGTTTGCTGAGAATGATGGTTTCCAGCTTAATCCATGTCCCTACAAAGGACATGAACTCATCCTTTTTTATGGCCGCATAGCATAGAGAGAAACCACTTTTCCAAACTATGTAGAAATACAGAGTATACATGTGGTTGGTGGTTGCTATTTAAGTTATGATTAAACTTTTCAATCAGTAATTGCTACTAAGCAACCCATTTTCATTAATTTCCGAGAGGTTGACTTATGTTTCAATGTTTAGATGCCCGTGGGTTTTGGTAACTGTGCTCAAACAAGCACTTCCGTTGTAAACTCTAGAGTGGGTCAAATGACTAAGCAGTGCTGGCTACAAATAGCATTATGATGATTTTATAAATAGAATTGAATTACCATTATCCAAGTTTTCAAAAAGATCTTTTGAAAAACCCAAGTTTCGGATGATAGTCAAGTGTCTATGTTTTTGAGAGACATATGTGTGTGTGTGTGTATCTCATGTCCATTTAGCTTGATCCCTAGCTCTCTGCTGAAAATTTTTGGGTTTAAATAGAGCAGAGGAACAAAAACATTGCAATTTCTGTGTTTTGGAAAAGTCTGTTTCGGTTCATGAAATGGGACAGTTTACAACACACCCTTACCATGCCTTTTACCATGTAAAAGGCATCAATTTGATCTCATTTGATCCTCATGTCTACTGTTATGTCAGGCATTATCATCTCAATTTTATAAATGAAGAAACTGATGTTTTGAGAATATGATGTAGTGTCCTATATATAGGATACTTCATTATTTTCTACTGATTTTCACTTCATTAGAAAACACCAAGCTATGCCACTACACAGCTACTGAAGAAAACCAGAAAAATATTTCATATATATATTTTAATATATATCAAATATTTCATATATATATGTTATATAATCATAATATATTATTCATATATATTATTAATATAACATGTAAATAATATATATGAATGTAGTACATATTAATTCTGTTAATTATATGTTATATTATATATAATATATACATTATATATGTATGTTATATATAATATATGTGCAGGTGTGTGTCACAGTTTACTTAACCTCTGATATTACAACTAAACTACACTGGGATCATACCAAAACAGTTGTTAATTTTCAACTTCTGACTTAATGAACAATTTTCATTAATCATGAGTAAAAGGAAAATTACCTTTTCTGATTTTTATAAGCACACCTGTTATTCTTATGCACACGTGGTACATTTACAAACATATACACCTCCTCTATACAGATTGTACCATGTGAGTTAAGAAAGAAGAGAAGGGGGAAAGTACACCTAAGAAATGATTAAATATGTATGACAAAATCAGTACACTTAAACAACATAGTAACTACATTAGCAGCATGGCATAAGTTTTTTGGCACCAAACATGTTTGATCTGTCTTTAGGATTTTAGTAATAATGTAAAAGTACTGAATACACATTATTTTATGGCAGGTCCTTATTTTAAGACATTGCACAAAATGGTATGAAGTTCTTAAACTCTCAAAAATACATTAAAATCTCACAATATGTTAGCGACTTCTTACGCATTCACAGAAAGTCTTCTGCAGTATCAAAATTTGATACATCAATGAAAACATTAGAAAAAGATGCTCAGTGGCAGATAATTTTGCTATTTACCCTTCTGTATTCAGAAATACACTTTTTGGTTTAAGATAGTTTAATAATCACTTTACTTTTTCTTAACTTTATTCCAGCCATAGTTAAATGATTGGAAAAGATATTATCTGAATTATAAAAGTAATTGATCAAATTTAGGATTTTAAGGCACATAAGGAGGCTATAACAGAGCTCATTTTTTTTCCTTTTTTAATAAGGTTTCTTTTACAAAATTAATTTACTGGTTTGTAAGTATTTCTGTTTAATGTCTGCATAAATGATGCTATATTGAAATGATGTTCCAAAGATATTTTATAATATTTATACAAAGAATATAGACCACAGTTTTGATACCCAGGGATTTCCTATAAACAGAAAGATGCAGTTAACTCTAAGTATCTCTGAATTACATTGATTATTTTTGAAATTTTGATATTATAAATCTTATGGCTTCTCTTCATGTCCAGGATTATATAACAGAAACCAAAACAAAACATATTAAGTAAATAATTTAAGAAGTGTTTTGTTTTGTTTTAATATGAAGGCCAACAGTCATCTCTGAAACTATGTTTTCATTTTCAAGGTGCTGCTGTAGGGTGAATTCTAACAGTGATTTAATTATAAATGCAAATTTTAACGCTGGCCTCATACTTGGAACCTGCTAATAGGGTGAATTTTCCAATTGGCCTTCCTTCTTCTTTTTATATTACCTTTTCTGTTTTTGAATATTTTCTATAAACTAGTCCATTAATGTAATCAAAATTACATTATATAAAATAATCCTAGGAAGGACAATTATGCGCATGAAAATGAAAAGAACTAGGAAAAAAGTGGCTTTCCAGAGTGAAACTGTATAGAGAATAATTTAGGTGATCTATTTAACAGAATCAAAGTGTTTTTCCTCTTACTGAAAGCACTTTTTTTTGGACTCCCATAAATGCTTTTAAGACTTTCTTTGGAAAACCCGTCATTTTCAAAGTACCCTTAAGAGCACATAATCCGTACATAATTTGAAAAAATTGCACTTTTCTGAAATAATGGCAATTTTCTAGATAACTAGTTTATACAATAAGGAAATACTTCAGACTTGCTTTGAAAAGGGGAGTGCATTACAGATGGACACCTTGTGCCATACTTTGGATTAACTATATTACCTACAAATACAGAAATACATTAATGTGCATTAGATGGTAATCTATACTTTTTTCAGGAAATAACATGTAGCTCAAAAACACCTAGGTATTTTTGGGTAGAAGAGGGTAGTGTTATAAACTAATAGTTCTTGAAGCTTTGCAAGGAGAAAACACAGAGCTATTTGATATTTATGTAGATACACTGGTATTTTTAAAGGTTACTTTACACTGTATGTGTGGTGTCTTACAAAAGACAAAGAGAGAATGCAGGTTGAAACTGACCTACCTTGACAAATTACACCTATCACATTTGCAATGTGATTTTGAGATAATTTATATGCTACACATTCAGGGAAGAAAAAAATGTATAAAAGAGAGAAAATAAATGAACCCTCCTACACATGAGATTATAATCTTCCCTAAGAGGTAGGGATTGTACTCTTTTTCATCCTTCCAACAATCAAAATTCTGGTCTTACACCCACTGCTGTAAGATGACCTGATTTAAATTGTTTACAATTAACCATAATTAATCTATGGCAAGTCTAAACTGCTTTTTTTTTCAGTCATCCTTATAATATCTAGACTAAGAGAATATCATAGTTTCCTACAGTGGAAATTTTATAAGGGGATCTAATTTTCCGTTTCATTATTATCAACTTTTTACTTATAGAGATAATTAAACATTTTAAAATGAAATTCCCTGGGAAACAAAAAGTCCCTTGTGAGAGAATAGCCAAATAACCAATCTCTTACAAAAAGGCAGTCAGTGCTGCTTGTCAAACCTTGGAAATAGATCATTGTCATTCATAGTCATACTCAGTTAAATCCGATAGGGGAACTGAGGATAAACTATTTCTCTTGGGTTATATATTGCAAAATGTTTTATATTGGGAAAATATTCATTATACTTCAAAATGGATCTTGAAATACCAGCCCAATTATAGTATATTCATGAAAGCAATGAAACCTACCTTTGTGGTTGAAAGCTCAAGAAAGAACAATTTATTTATAAGTAGGATTGATGAAAATAACATATCTAATAAGTTATTGCAAGTATTCAAAAGGAGACAATATTAAAATGATGCATTCTTGACTGTATACGAATATTTTAAATTATGAAAATATTGTATACATTATAGACATATATAACATACTCCAAAGAGATTTGTGTTCTATGTAATTTGCCCTAAAATAAAGAAAATAAATTGCTCTAGGTAAATAATATTTTAATAATATAGCCATCTAAATATTAAGCTTATTTTAGATAAACCAAATATAAAAAGTAAAATATAATGTGATCAAAATAATATTTTGTTTTATGTATATGCAATAAAAGCTAAAACTGATGACAGCCATTAAGCATTGCAGGGTTTACTATCAGAACAGAATTATCAAACCATTGATGTTTGATAATGAAGGAAACATGAAGACTTTACTGATTTACCCTAATTTTCTTACTGATAACAATAGGATGTGCTTAAGCTGGCAGGAGCTTCTATTATTTCTCTCAGTAGAGGCTGGAGTTTGAGTACTTACTAAATCTTTGGCACTAAGTACAGTAAAACCATTTTCTCCTTGAATTTTGCTCATTATTCTATTAGGTTGATATAGTGGGAATAATGGAATTATTTATTCTACAAGGATTCATTAGCAAATAAGGTGGAAATTTTATAAAGTCAAAATTTCTCTGGAAAGTGCCTTAGGTGCCATGTGGGAGATGAATGAAATATTTTTTTGCAAGAATCCTTATAGCTGGGTTTTCCTATTGGTCAGATTATCATTTTTTTTTTGAATTCCAGATAAACTACTTTACTGGCTTTGTATGAAAAATCCATATATTAAAGTACCAGTATTACAATCCAAGATGTGGTTACCCTGAAATGATTTTTTGGAGAAATCTCACATTGAGTGGAATGGGAGGCAAGTTATGATGTTTAATGTTTTTCCTGTCAGTTTATTAGTTTTCAGAGATCATACACTTTCTGCGAGTTAAAAATACTTGGCTCAACATTATTGTATTAAACTGTGGATTTCTTACATAACAGGATTAGGAGACTTTATATAACTTACCTAGCTAAAGTTCACTTAACTAGAAAAAAGAAAAGCTACATTGAAACCATGTCTCTTAGACTCCTAAACTTTTGTTCTTATCCCCTGGCTTAAACTAACCTGAGGCCCAGAGGAATTAACAGAAATGTGGCAATTTATTAGCATAACTGAAAAAGCTTTTATATTGTGAGATTCCTATCCAGTGCATACTCATTTAGTAAATTCAGAAGCTGAGTGAATTAACTACCATGATAATTATGTAGAGGAATTTTTAAAAATAAAATTTTGTTACAAAACAATTACAGAAATATAGCAACATTGCAAAGACTGCACGAAGAATTCCCACATATCTCAGATTCTGTTTCCCCTACCATTAACATCTTAACCTTAAGATAGTGCCATTGCTATACAATAAATGAATGAATATTGATTCATTATTACAAACTGAAGTCTATAAACTACAGATTGCTTCAGTTTTTACCTTATGTGCTTTTTCTGCCCCATGATCTCATCTGGGATACCATATTTCACTTAGTTATCTTGTCTCCTTGTGGTCCTTTTGGCTGTAACAGCTTCTCACACTTTTCTAGTTTTTGATGACCTTGACAGTTTTGAATAGTACTAGTCAGATATTATGTAGAATTTACCTCAATTGTGCTATGTTTGATGTTATTCTGATGTTCAAGCAGACTTATATGTTTTAGGGGGAAGGCCACAGAGGTACACTGCCATTTCCGTCACATCAAATTCAAAGTCATTTCTAACACGACTTTTTTTCCTTTTTCTTCTTTTTTTTTTGTTTTTAAATTTTACTTTAATTCCTGGGATACATGTGCCGATTGTGCAGGTTTGTTACATAGGTATACAAGTGCCATGGTGGTTTGCAGCACCTATCAACCCAACATCTAGGTTTCAAGCCCCACATGTATTAAGTATTTGTCCTAATGCTCTCCCTCCCCTTGCCCCCAACCCCCAACAGGCCCCGGTGTATGATGTTCCCCTCCCTGTGTCCATGCGCTCTCACTGTTCGACTCCCACTTGTAAGTGAGAACATGCAGTGTTTGGTTTTCTGTTCCTGTGTTAGTTTGTGGAGGGTGATGGCTTCCAGCTTCATCCATGTCCCTGCAAAGGGCATGAACTCATTCTTTCTTAGGGCTGCATAGCATTCCATGGTATATATGTGCCACATTTTCTTTATCCAGTTTATTGTTGATGGGCATTTGGGTTGATTCCAAGTCTTCGCTATTGTAAATAGTGCTGCAATAAACATATGTGTGCATGTGTCTTTACAGGAAAATTATTTATAATCCTTTGGGTATACACCCAGTAATGGGATTGCTGGGTCAAATGGTATTTCTGGTTCTAGATCCTTGAGGAATCGCCACATTGTCTTCTACAATGGTTGAATTAATTTACATTCCCACCAACAGTGTAAAAGTGTTCCTATTTCTCTACAGCCTCGCAAGCATCTGTTGTTTCCTGACTTTTTAATAATCGCCATTCTAACTGGTGTGACTTATTACCATGTGCATCATTCCAGACTCTTCCCCTTTCTTATCCCTAAATTCCCACTCCAACAACAGTGAAAAGCCTGGCTCCTACCATACATTATCCATTTACTCGTCAAAACCAGTATACACGTATAGGTTTATCAGAATTATCAGCCCATATCTTTATGAGAAATACCTTTATCGACAGAAGCACAGAATTTATGGAAAGTTTATTTTGCATTTAGTCTTGCAGCCAGAGGATTTTTAAATCGACAACTTTAGTCATGTAGGTCACAAATAGTACTTCTGAATGAAACCCTTCAATCTGATGAGTGAGTTTTTTTATTAGTTATGCTCATATTTGGTGTATCAGTTCGTCTCTATCTGAAATGCTTTTCTCTGTCAATAAGACAATATCTTAATAAATATTAGCTTCTAATCCAGAGAAAAACCCTATTCTGTTGCAAGTAAGTAACATAATCTTTCTGGCATATAGCTGAGTAAACTATTCTAGAGACAGTCACAATGTCTTGTTGATATTAACATTTTATATTAAGTATCTATTTTCTACTCTTGTAACTAAGAAGTTATTAAGACTATCTGCAAATGAGGATAGAAAAGTCACATTTAAACTGATATATTCCTGCAAATGTTTTTAAAAAGATGAGAGAAGGGACATGATGTTCGCTGTTTAGTACAAGCCAAGTATTAGACTTAAAAAAATTTTAAATTGCAATTTTCATAATAGTACCTATAATAATCTCATGTTCCTATTAATATGATTTCCTATACACATGAAGTTATAGCAAAAGTGGCTCAAGCCTGTAATCCCAACACTTTGGGAGGCCAAGGTGGGCAGATCATGAGGTCAGGAGTTCAAGACTATCCTGGCCAACATGATGAAACCCTGTCTCTACTAAAAATACAAAAATTATCTGGGCACGGTGGTGCGTGCCTGTAATCCCAGCTACTTGGGAGGTTGAGGCAGAATTGCTTGAACCCAGGAGGCGGAGGTTGCGGTGAGCCGAGATCGTACCACTGCCCTCCAGCCTGGGCGACAGAGTGAGACTCCGTCTCGGAAAGAAAAAAAAGAAAGTTATAACAAAAGCAGCACAGATTTGTTACGTGGAAAGATCTGAGTCCTTATCTGACTTGGTTCTTATTAGTTGATTGATCAACACTTTTTTTTCTTATCTTTAGCATGGTTGACCAACATGTTTGTTTTTTTTCTTCTTATCTTTAGCTTCTACGTGTGCCAAATGTGAAAAATAATTTTGAACTCTTAAGATGATTATTGTTTAGGATTAAGAAGATAATATATAGAGAGCTCACTGTAGTATCTTTATTAAATAGTAGATGCTCCAAAACTATTACAGTAGTCCTCGCTCACCTGTGGTTTTGTATTCCCCAGTTTCAGTTACATATGGTCAACCATGGTCTGAAAATGTTAACTGAAAAATTTCAGAAATAAATGATTCATAATTTTTAAATTGCATGCCATTCTGAGTAGTATGTTGAAATCCTGTGTACTTCCACGTCCTCTCATTTGGCACATAAATCATCCCTTTGTCAAATGTCTCCACACTGTATATGCTACCTGCCAGTTCATCCTTTAGTAGCCCCCTTGTTTATCAGAATAACTGTCCAGGATTGCAGTGCTCACGTTCAAGATCAATGTAGCCTAATGCTAGGTCACAATACTTACATAAGTCACCTCACTTTATTTCATCACCTAGGCATTTTATCATCTCATATCATCACAAGAAGGGTAAGTAGAGTCATACCTTATTTTGAGAGGGAGACCACATTCAAATAACTTTTATTACAGAATATTGTTATAATGATTATTAGTTTTGTTTATTTCTTACTGTGCCTAGTCTAATTTATAATAGGTATATATTTACAGAAAATATAAACTGGTATATAGAGGTGTGTTAGGCCTTTCTTGCATTGCTATAAAAAAAACCTGAGACTGGGTAACTTATAAGAAAGGTTTAATTGGCTGATGATTCTACAGGCTGTATAGGAAGCATGATGCTGGCATCTGCTTCTGGAGAGGCCTAAGGAAGCTTGCAATCATGTCAGCGGGCAAAGGGGGAGCAGGAATCTCACACGGCCAGAGCAGGAGCAAGAGAGTTGGTGTGGGAGGTGCCACACACTTCTGAAAAGGCAGATCTCTCAAGAACTTACTATCTTAAGGACAGCAGCAAGGTAGGAGAGATCTGCCTCTCTTGACACAAACACCTTCCACCAGGCCCCACCTCCAACACTGGGGATTACAATTCGATATATTTTGTGGGGCATATATTCAAGTCATATCATTTGGGATCAGTACTATCCATGTTTTCAGACATCTGCTAGGGGTCTTGGAACATGCTACCTGCATTTTATTTCTAATTTCCTCTAGGAACAAAACTGCACTGAAATAGACTAGAACCTACACTATTGGGAAGTCATGCTACAATATGAATTTCCATGATTGCCGTCATCACTTTAGGCATGACTTTGAGCAAATTCAATAAACTCTTATACTGCAACTCTGTTATTGATTCCATGGTATTTTGTTCTCTTTTATTCCTTTTTTATTTATTCCTGTAATGAACAGTCCAATCTGTTACTTAGGATAGGAAAGATTTGGAGACCTAACATGATAAATAAATAAGCCTGTGTGATCTTCATTTAACTCTTTTACCTCTCACAGTAGAGGATACTCTCCCAAAGCACACAGGTATGTTCTTCAAAGCATTAAATGCAGGCTTACTTAGACTAGAACCATGTCTTCTTTTGTCCATCACTGTTTCTCCTGTTCCTATCATAAGGGCTTATATTTACTATTCACTCAATATATATTTATGGGATGAATAGATGAATTAAAATCTTTCCAACAAACAGAGGATATTTCCTCAGTTCTACCAATGATATTTAACTTTGTGTATATTCTATGCAATGCTCATTACATCCCTTAGTTATCTTGAACTTTCAATTCCATCATTTTACTAATAATTTCATAAATAAGTTAAGAAGCCTGTGTTATATCTATGCAATACATAACTACAATCGATTGGATCAGGGAGTGGCAAACTGTGATCCACAGACCTTGCTGCCTGTTTTTGTAAACTTTTATTGGAACACAGTCATACCAATTTGCTTACTTACCATCTATAGCTGCTTCCTTGCTCCCATGATAAGACTTAGTAGTTGTCAGAGAAACAATATGGCCCACAGAATCTAAACTATTTACTATATGGCCCTTTTCAGAAAAATGATGATCCTTAGATTAGAGGAATAAGATTAAGATTTTATCAGCAATGTTTAGACATCTTTGCACTATTTACAGTAGAGAACATCCTGGGGGAAATATCATGTGTATCATATTCAACTTAGTATACAAAATATTAATTTAAAGCTATGCAACAGATGTTGTTAAAAGCATTTGAGAATTTATACATCTAAATGAGTGCAGTTTTTGGTGGCACATCAAATTATATACTCTCATTGGTGAAAACACATTTGTCTTTTAATGATGAATTTAAATTTTGGAAGCATTCACAATTTTCTCAGAGCCAATGTAACAAAATATTGTGTTTGACAGTAGGCAGTATACTTTCGGTGTGAAAATATAGAGAAATGGTACTTATTTTGTTATGTGGCATATAATTTGACTCTAAAGGTGATATCACAAATGTAGTTAAAAATATTTTGAACAAAAAGCATTAGGGAAATTAGTGTGTTTTTTACCAAGATTAAAAATCTCAAAATTGCTGCACCCAAGAATTTAGAGTCAAATCTGGTGTAAACATGGGATATAAACATAAAGTTCATGGTGTCATCTGTGATATCATATCATATTATTTTGCATATCAACATTCAACCTGATTCTATTTTTTTCCTGATAAACATTTGGATCAAAAAGGAAAAAATAAACATTGAATGGTCAAATAAATTTGCTGAAATAAATTAATATGCAGTCTTGTCCACCATGAATTATAGAGCATATAAAATTTCTAATGTTCAACAAAATTGACAATTGATTCTTATTCTGTTCAGGCACAATGACATTACACATTTTAACTACATTGGTTGTGAAAACGTGTCAGCTTGAACATAATTTCTTAGGAATGTGAGGGTATTAAATATTGCCTTGCAGATGCTCACAAAATAGGTACCCATTTTTGCCATATGGGAGAGACAAATGAAAAGTCTTCAAGGATCAACAAGAGAAAAACAAACCACCCCATATGTAGATTAAACTAAGTGCCAACTTGGGATAATATCCTCTTTTGAAGTGTCAGGAATGTTAAGGAAGTTTTAAAAAGTGATCTATGAATATGCAGTGGCAAGAGCAACAGAAAACAACTTCTCTTATTTTGAAATAAATAGATAGATGATCTATTCTTATGTTTAAAATATATTAAGCCATGTTGTAAGGGATACCATGCTGATTGTCTGTGTCTCTCTTTTAAATAGAAGGTAGAAATAAAAACCCAAGATAATATGCTAATATATATATTTTTCTCAGTATAAGAAACTACTAAGCACCCAAAGGAACATCAAATACCCAGTGTCCTGCAAATGACTGTAGGATAGGTAAGAGTAGCTAATGGTGATATTAATGCTGTATAATACAATTTAAAATTAGTATCTCTCCTCTTTCCATCACCTAAATTGGCTTACTTTCCGTATTTAAAATTCACAATAAGTGGCATCAACATGAATGGAGTTGGCCTGTTGAGTCACTTAGACTCCTTTCTTACCCCCAATAACCAATCAGTCACCAAATCTTACAAATCATATCTGATGATAGTATCTTTCTTGCCTTGCTCCTTACCTTTTTTCCCACTGCTTTTAAGTCAAGATTAACAACACAGCTTATACAGTTGACTTACCGTGACTACAAGTCCTTGCATATTTTTTACCCTTTCACTGGACCACAGGTGTACATAATTAAACTATTCCTCTTTTCGTGACTCACTTTATCGCTTTTCCATATGAACAGTACCACTGTAAAAATACCTGTATTTGTCTACCATTGCATATACACAAGAATTTTGGAGGAGAGGATATGTACCCCAAATTAAAATTGCCTGGATATAATGTGAGTGTGTTAAATTTTATAAAATGTGTTTGAGAGTGTACACATCTAAGTAAGTGCAGTCTTCTCTGGCACATCCATTTATATAATCTCAATGGTGAAAACACATTTGCTCTTTAATGGTGAATTTAAATTTTGGAAGCATCCAAAATTTCTTTCAGAGCAAATATGACTGAATATTGTCACAAAATAATGCTATTTTTTAAAGACGGTTGTACTAATTTACATCCCGACCAGAAGTAGATAAGATACCTTTCATCCCCATCTGCTACAACACTTGATATTGTCAAACTTTTTAATCTTTTCCAAGTAAATGAAATTAAAAATATTTTTTATCATAATCTGTAGCCTCTGCTAACTATTGAGATAGAATATCTCCTCTTATTCTCTCTAGCTTTGCCCCATCCCACCTCTGATATAACCACAAAATGCACTTGTACAGATGCACACTTACACACAGTCACATTCACACACTTAATATTTTTCACTTCTATATAAACATTTTGTGTTTTCCATTTCTTGGACGTTTTCTTTTTCCGATTCCATCTGTGTCTGGTTTAATTGCACATCTATGTGAGTGCCACAGATTTTTTCTATTTCTTTTATTATAGCATTTGTATTAGTCAGGGTTCTCTAGAGGAATGGGACTAATAGGATGGACGCACACATTAAAGAGAGTTTATTAAGGAGTACTGACTCACATGATCAAAAGGTAAAGTCCCACAATAGGCCCTCTGCAAGCCGAGGAGCAAGGGAGCCAGTCTGAGTCCCCAAACCTCAAAAGTAGGGAAGCTGACAGTGCAGCCTTCAGTGTGTAGCTGAAGGCCCAAAAGCCCCTAGCAAACCACTGGTGTAGGTCCAAGAGTTCAAAAGCTGAAAAACTTGGAGTCCGATGTTCGAGGGCAGGAAGCATCCAGCACGGGAGAAAGATGGAGGCCAAAAGACTTAGCCAGTCTAGTCCTTCCACATTCCTCTGCCTGCTTTTATCCTAGCCACGCTGGCAGCTGATTAAATGGTGTCCACCCAGATTGAAGGTTGGTCTGCCTTTCCCAGTCCACTGACTCAAATGTTAATCTCCTTTGGCAATACCCTCACAGACACACCCAGTAATAACACTTTGAATCTTTCAATCCAATCAAGTTGACACTCAATATTAACCATGACAGCACTTATGATAGAAATGCTATCTAATGAACATTTACTTGTTTGAATTCCCCAAGGTGGACCCATGAAATCAGAGACTATGTATCTCACATACCAGTGTATCCCCAATGTATAAAGATCCACTGCTACATTTATACTCTCTCAATCCAGCTCCTTGGATTATTCATTTAATCATTTCACAAATACTTTTGAGCCCTTGAGAGAGAGACAGAAGTTATAAAGAAAATCAAAAGGATATTTTGCTAGAATAACAGCAGTAGTTGCTCCTTTAGAAATAGCAATAAAGGATATCCACTCTGATGAAGGGACATTTGAGCTTAGATATTATTAATGAGAAATAGGGCTGATGTCTATTTCTTTAAATGTTAATTGAAGAAATCTCTGATTCTAGTTTTGTTAGTGCTCCTGAGGAAATTGCCAACGCCATGCCAAGGATGCTACCTCTAGACATTTTCAAATGCTACTACATCCTACACATTGCCACAGTGGTGCTAGATTCTGTGCATAGGAGAGGAAAAAGGTCTACCCTACTGGATTAAGGGCCTATCCTATTCCAGTAATACCTCATTTTAACTAGTTACATCTACTGGCCCTCCCCCCTTGTCCCCTACATATATGCCCTCGAACTCATCAAGACATTCACCAAAGATGTCGTTTATTTCAGTTACTCTCCTCTGTTCATTTTCTCCTGCGGCCAGCTTACAAAACGTCAACAACAACAACACGATCTCTCTCTACAAGAAAATTTCTGTGTAATTCACATTCTCTGTTTACAAACCTAAGACACTAATACCTGTCCTTCCCTAAAAATAACCTTCAAGAAAAAGTTCTGCCACAATGAAGAGACTGCATAGAATTTGAACTTAGAAAGATCTGGATTCAAAGCCTTACTTCACTTACTGCCATGGTATTCAAAAAGATAATGCAATTTAGTAGATTTAGTTACCCATTAACCTTCAATGGAATATAATTCTTAGGTTTCAGACTAGCAAGTTTATGCCTTAAAAAGTAATCACAGGTCAGCTGTATCAGAAGAGAGCAGATGTCCAATACCCACTCTTACAGATTCTGTTGCTATAGGATAAAGTTCAGAAATCTCAAGCAAGCAAATGTGTTCTTGGTCATATACACTAAAGCTTCAGAACTTCTGGTCTCTGACAACAAGAACAAGAACTACTCAAGCTGATTTAAGAAGAACATCGATGTCTTCGTCTCCTAGGGCTGCTGTAACAAAGTGCTACAAATTGAGTAGCTTAAAAGGATAGAAATTTATTATCTTATAGTTCTGTATGCTAGAAGTCAAAACTAAGATTCCACAGAGTTGGTTCTCTCTGAGAGTTCTGAGAGAGACTCTGTTCCATGCCTCGCTTTTGGCTTCTGGTGACAACCACAAACCTTGGGATCTCTTGGTTTGTGAACACGTCACTTCAGTCTCTGCCTCCGTCTCCACACAGGGTTCTCCCTATGTGTCTTTCTCTTTTCTTCTTGTAAGAACACCAGCCACAATGCATTAAAGGACTACCGTATTCCCTTATGACCTCATCTTAACTAATTACACCTACCAACAACCTGTTTACAAACAAGGTTACATTCTGAGGTACTGGAGATTAGAACATTGTATTATTCAAGGCTTTCCAGGGAAACAGAACCAACAGTAGATAGATAGATATAGATAGATAGATGATAGATAGATGATAGATACATGATAGATAGATAGATAGATAGATAGATAGATAGATAGATAGATAGACAGACAGACATTTATTAAGAGAACTGGGCACATGTGGTTGTGGAGGCCAAAAAGTTCAATACTACATCATTTACAAGCTAGAGAACCAGGAAAACTGGTGTCCAGAGAACCACTGGTGTCCAGAGTCTGCATGCCTCAGAACCAGGAGCTCCAATGTTTGAAAACAGGAGAAGATGGGTGTCTGAGCTAAAGAAGAAATATACAGGATTCATTCTTCATGTTTTGTATTCTCAAACCCTCAAAGAATTGGATGATGTTCTCCCACATTAGTGAGGGTGGGACTTCTTTACACAGTCTATGGATTCAAATGCCAATGTCTTCTGAAAGCACTCTCACAGAGACTCCAAGAAATAGTGTTTTACCACCTATTCTGGGCATTCAACTCAGTGAAATTGACACGTAAAATTAACCCTTTTGGATTTCAACAAATATTTTTTAGGGGGCCAAAATTCAACCAGTAACAAAGAATAACTGTATCTACAGCCAAGGGCTCCCCCACATGATATGCATCATAATCTTCCACTAAGGGTCCCGGTCATGCACTATGGCCCCTAAATCAGGATTATTGAAGCTATAGACCAGGTCCTGGGTTTTTAAGAAACTTTCACAAACATGTTTTAAAATCACTAAACACATATGCTAATGATATACTAATGTTTCTACGGCAATGGCTTGTGATATTTATAATGTAGTAAAACACTTTCTTAACATTAAAACTGTGTAAAACAAAATGCCAATTTTTGAGTTAACCAAGCAGTATTAAGTAATACTGGTAGTGGGTTTCTTTGCAACGGGAGGAAATAAAAATAATAATTTAATCTGAAAATGATATATATTATGATTTTCTATCGCTATTACATTTTCACATGCCCCTTTTTTGTATTGCATTAATCTTTATTCTCTTTTCTTTATATGTTTACTTTTCTTCTTTTGCAGCATCATAAATTTTTTCACAATTATGTTTTCATTTTAACAAATTTATGCTGAGTACTAACGGTATATCTGGTTTTGTGCTAAAAGCTGAAGTAACAATGTCCTTTAAAACTCAATCTCAGTCCAGAAGAAATTCTTAGTTTACCAGAAGAGAGACACATAGAACCTTAAAAAAAAGAAAAAGAAAAGAAAAGAAAAAGTAAAGCAACTACTGTGAAATTTGAAAGAAAGTACTTCCAAAAATGTAATGTGCACATGAATCAACTTGGGAACTTATTAAAAATAAATTTTAAGTCAGTAAATTTGGGGTGGAGCCTGTGATTCTTCATCTCTAACAAGTTCCCAGGTGATGCTTCTGGCTAGTGATTTATGCCTCGTGGAGGAAGTTGATTGGGAATAAAATGAAGATGCATGCAAAATGCTAATGGAACACAGATGGGGATAAAATTATTGCTGTATCCATCTTAAGGCTTAATGTTTAAGGAATGTTGCAGAGAAGAAGGTTGTAGATTTTGGACTTCAAATATCACAGTGAATTAATTGCCTAATGTATTAGTCTGTTCTCACGCTGCTAATAAAGACATAGCCAAGATTGAGTAATTTATAAAGGAAAGAGGTTTAATGGACTCAAAGTTCCACACGGCTGGAGAGGCCTCACAATCATGGTAGAAAGCGAAGGATGAGCAAAGTCACATCTTACCTGACAGCAGGCAAGAAAGCATGTGCAGGGGAACTCCCATTTATGAAACCATTAGGGCCAAGGACAGTGGCTCACGCCTGTAACCCCAGCACTTCGGGAGACTGAGGTGAGTGGATCACCTGAGGTCAGGAGTTCGAGACCATCTTGGCCAACATGGTGAAACCCTGTTAATATTAAAAATGCAAAAATTAGCCAGGCATCATGGCGGGTGCCTGTAGTCCCAGCTACCCAGGAGGCTGAGGCAGGCAAATCGCTTGAACCCAGGAGGCGGAGGTTGCAGTGAGCTGAGATAACACCACTGCACTCCAGCCTGGGTGATAGATCAAGACTCCACCTCAGAAAATAGCAATAAAATAAAATAAAATAAATAAATCTCATGAGATTTATTCACTGTCATGAAAAGAGCACAGGAAAGACCCACTGGCATGATTCAATTGCCTCCTACCAGGTCTCACCCATGACACGTGGGAATTATGGGAGCTACAATTCAAAATGAGATTTGGGTAGGGACACAGCCAAATAATATCATTCTGCCCCTGGCATCTGCCAAATCTCATATCCCCATAATTTCAAACCCAGTCATGCCTTCCCAACAGTCCTCCAAAGTCTTAACGTACTTCAGCATTAACTCAAAAGTCCAAGTCCAAAGTCTATCTGAGACAAGGCAAGTGCCTTTGCCTATGAGTCTGTAAAATCAAAAACAAGTTAGTTACTTCCTAGATACAATGGGGGTATAGGCATTGGGTAAATACACCCTTTCCAGATGGGAGAAATTGGCCAAAATGAAGGGGCTACAGGCCCCATGAGAGTCTGAAATTCAATGGGGCAGTAAAATCTTAAAGCTTCAAAATGATCTCACATCCAGGTCATGCTAAAGCAACAGGTGGGTTCCCATGGTCTTAGGCAGCTCCAACCCTGTACCCATTGTACCCTATAAGGGTACAATGTCCCCTCCTGGCTGCTTTCACAGGCTGGCATTGAGTGTCTGCGGCTTTTCCAGGTGCACAGCGCAAGCTATCGATGGATCTACCACTCTGGGGTCTGGAGGATGGTGGCCCTCTTCTCACAGCTCCACTAGGAAGTGCCCCAGTGGGGACTCTGTGTGGAGGCTCCAACCCCACATATCCCTTCCCCACTGCCCTAGCAGAGGTTCTCCATGGCGGTCTCACCACTGCAGCAAACTTCTTCCTGGATATTCAGGAGTTTCTATCATCCTCTGAAATCTAGGTGGAGGTTCTCAAACCTCAATTCTTGACTTCTGTGCACCCACAGGCTCAACACCATGTGGAAGCTGCCAAGGATTGGTGCTTGCACCCTCTGAAGCCATGGCTTGAGTTGTACCTTGGCCCTTTTTAGCTACAGCTGGAGAAGCTGGGATATAGGGCACCAAGTCCCTAGGCTGCACAGAGTAGGGGGGTCCTGGCCCTGACCCATGAAACTATTTTTTTCTCCTAAGCCTCCTAGCTTGTAATGGGAGGGTCTGCTACAAAGGTCTCTGACACGCCCTGGAGACATTTTCCTTACTGTTTTGGTGATTAACATTTGGCTCCTTGTTAATTATGCAAATTTCTTAGGCCAGCATGAATTTCTCCCCAGAAAATGGGTTTTTCTTTTCTACTGTGTTATCAGGCTGTGAATTTTTCAAATTTTTATGCTCTGTTTCATCTTGAACACATTGTTGCTTAGAAATTTCTTCCACCAGATACCCTATATCAAGTTCAACGTTCCACAGATCTCTAGGGCAGGGGCAAAATGCCAACAGTCTCTTGCATACAAGAGTGATCTTATTCCAGTTCCCAAAAAAGTTCCTCATCTCCATCTGAGACTTCAGCCTGAACTTTATTGTCTATATCACTATCAGCATTTTTGTTAAAGCCATTCAATAAGTCTCTAGGAAGTTCCAAATTTTCCCACATCTTCCTAAGCCCTCCAAACTGTTTCAACCTCTGTTTGTTACCTAGTTCCAATGTCACTTCCACATGTCAGGTATCTTTACAACAGCACCCCCCTCTATTAGTACCAGTTTACTCTACTCATCTGTTCTCATGCTGCTAATAAACATATCTCAGAGACTGGGTAACTTAAAAAGGAAATAAGTTTAATAGACTCACAGTTCCACATGTCTGGAAAGGCCTCACAATCATGGCACAAGGCAGAGGAGGAGCAAAGTCACGTTTTACATGGCAGCAGGCAACAGAGCATGTGCAGGGGAACTCCCCTTTATAAAACCATCAGATCTCATGAGACTTAATTGCTATCATGAGAACAGCATGGGAAAGACCCACCCCCATTATTCAATTACCTCCCACTGGTCCCTCCCAAAACACACAGGAATTATGGGAGCTACAATTCAAGATGAGACTTGGGTGGGGACACAGCCAGACCATATCACCCAATAAGAAAAATAATATTTTTAGCAATGACAATGGAATAAGTAAAGGTTCAGAAATAACCAATAATAAGTGTGCTTAAACCAGTGCTTTTCAAAATGCACTTTTTTTTTTTTTTTTTTTTTTTTTTGAGATAGAGTCTTGCTCTGTCACCCAGGCTGGAGTGCAGTGGCGCAATCTCGGCTCACTGCAAGCTCTGCCTTCCGGGTTCATGCCATTCTCCTGCCTCAGCCTCCCGAGTAGCTGGGACTACAGGCGCCTGCCACCGCACCCAACTGTGGTCTCGATCTCCTGACCTCGTGATCCGCCCGCCTCAGCCTCCCAAAGTGCTGGGATTACAGGCATGAGCCACCGTGCCTGGCCCAAAATGCACTTCTTAAAAGAGCATTTTGTTGGACCATCCTCCGGGCACATAATTATTTAGAATTTATGAGATTAGGGCATGGGGATCTTTCTCTTAAATAAATTTCCAACTCCTTCTTCTGCCTCTGTCCTCTTAATTTCAGGCTAGGGTTTTGCATACCTGTAGAAGGGGGAAAAGTCATGTTCTGAGGGTATCTTTGGACATAACTTAGGGTCAAGTGATGAGGAGCCCTTCTGTGCTTTGTCCAGAAATTTGGATTTTATTTTTCAAAAGCAGTATTCAATTTTTTGGATTCTTTGTTCTTATTTAAAAAACAATTGAATATACCTTCATATATTTGTCATCATTTATTTAAAATATATGTAAATCTAGTCATATGCATATACTATTGCATTTTAAATCACAGTAAAAGACAAAAACATTGGCATTAAGCACAGATAAAATAAATGATAAACAGTATTTAAAGTATATTTTAAAATATCTTCATATCATCAGACATCATTTCTTAGGACACAATATATATTTAAGGTGAGGTTTGTTAACTATAGTGAATACAAATGCTGTAGTTATTTGAAGTAGATTTTTGATAATGTCGATTTATACGGCTTACTTTTTACAAAATATTATAGCAATGTTTTTCCTTTAAGCCTTGAAATAAAATTGATTGTCAGATTATCAAAACATATATGATCATTATTATTAGTAGTATTATTTTTTGAGACAGAGTCTCACTCTGTCACCCAGGCTGGAGTGCAATGGCATGATCACAGCTCAGCTCACTGCAGCTTCAATCTCCTGGGCTCAAGTGATCCTCCCACCTCAACCTCCCAAACAGCTGGGATTATAGGCATGTGCCACCATGCTCTGCTGGTTTTTGATGCATATATTTTTGCAGAGACAGGGTTTCACCATGTTTCTCAGGCTAAACTCAAACTCCTGGACTCAAGTGATCTGCCTGCCTTGGCCTCCCTAAGTGTTGGGATTACAGGCATGAGCCACTGCACCTGGCGTAAAACATGCATTATTGATAGTATCCATAGTCATCAGATTATTGAGAATTTTTATTGTTTAAAAGTTTTTTTTAATTAGGTAAGCGTTTGATGAGTTAAGCCTACAAAATGTAAACTTTACATTCATGTAACTGGGCAGTCATAAATTGAAATATTTAATAATGTGCTTGAAGACAACAAAACTATGTGCTCTTGTCAAACCCTCCCTGGAGTAGAACTCTTTTTCTTCTCAGGGATGCCACATTACCATGGGGACCTATGGACAAGAGGTACCTTTGTCAATTCATATATTAAATGTGTGTGTGTGTGTGTGTGTGTGTGTGTGTGTGTGTTTGGAACTGATTATAGACAAAATAGAAGCTCTAACATTCTAGTCAATACAGTAGTCACTGTAGACAAATCCTTCCCAATCCACTGCCAAATGTATAACTACTTTTTTGCAAGCTATGCCCTGGCTCCAGAATTTTCTAAGGAGCTTCAGAAAAAAAATAAAAATTATTTTGCCCCATGCCTACCTACTATATAAGAATCTCTGAGTAAGCAAAGAGCCTTAGAATACGTACTTCTTCAAAACAACCAAGCTGACTCTGAAGTCACCCAAGGATTACATATAACTGAGATGAAAGACCCTTAGAAATTTGTAAGTAAGGGGGCATATAAGTAAGATGATCAAAATTACTTGAACTTTAAAGGAAGTGCAAAATATAGACTTCATAGACAGTGCTGGAGGTAAGAAGACCCGTGGGTAATTGTGAAGGTATCAACTCCTAACTGATAAAGGTTCTGGATATTAACTTATGAATGTCCCAATAGTGACCCATTTTAATCTTCAATTCTAAATTACTTTGGCACATTAATTTTAATTCTCTTAAATTTTTTGTCAATATAAACATTATTTTCATTATAAATCCTAATTGCTGTGGTGTTTATGGTAAGCCAAAGATGCTAAAAGCTGCATTAGAAACAACTCTTTGTGTTCTCACTCTCTCTCTCTAATAACAGCTGAAAAAAGAAAAAGGCAGAGAGTAAATCCAAGGTTTTAGATTCAGTAAGACTCCCCCATGCATCCCACTCAACTTTTTATATTATGATAGGAAATGTTTATATCCCAATGGCTTACACAGTGAAATAATTTATAGCTGACGTTGGTTTCCAGCTTTATGATAATTTTAATGAAATATTCTCCAGTTCCTCCAAATATAAAGAATGCTTTAAAGTGTAAGATAATGTTCAACAATTGAGAGAATATAACCAACAGGGGAGAAAT
Organism: Homo sapiens; assembly: GCF_000001405.40. Lineage (NCBI taxonomy): Eukaryota > Metazoa > Chordata > Mammalia > Primates > Hominidae > Homo > Homo sapiens. The sequence goes on from NC_000009.12 coordinate 30,035,930, forward strand.
GATGCAGTAATAACCAAGCTGAATTGTTGTAATGTGACTGTTCTTTTCTAACAGCCTTATTCACTCCTTTTTATGCTCTGGATAAACTATCTTACATAGTAGTGAATAAGTAATAATGGCTCATATCCCAGCTGTGAGCAGTTTTGTGGTTAGTAAAATAGGGAGCAGCCAGGGATTTCAATCTCAAATAACATTGTATATGACAAGTGAAACTTTAGTAATTTGCAGTGAATAATTTGATATAAGAAGAACAGAAAACTATCGCTATGTGGCTCAATTTTTTACATAAAATTGGATCTGTGTTTAAAACCTGAGGTTTGGGAACTTAATAAGTTAGGGAATTTAACCTAGCTATCTCACTTACGATATTAGGCAAGTTGCTTAACTTCCCCAAATCTTGGTTATTCCCACCTGTAAAGTAGGTGATTGAATGATATCATTGTATGTGAATCACATAGAAAATAGTGGTAGATAGAATTTGGTTACAGCCTCCTCCCCAATTCTGATTCCTCTTCTTCCCATTTTCTCATCTGTAAAAGCTGCAGTGCCTAGGTGCAGGGCTTTTCTCTTCTCTTTCTACACAATCTCTCTAGAAAATCTCTTCTTTTCTTTGGTTTGAAATACTGCAGGTATGCTGGTGGTTCCCAGGCTTATATCTCCAACACAAACTTTTCTCTTACTTGAACTCTGGCTTGGCTCATCAAACAATGACAACTGCCTACTCAGCAACTCCCCTTAAATGTCTGATGGACATCACTCACATCACACATTCAAAACTGAGCTCTACCTTATTTACCTTCTTCCAAAACCAATAATCTGCTGTTCCCCCAGTTTACACTACATCAGCAAATCAGATAAATCCTCTTCTCTTACAACTCATGGGCAATCTCTGTCATCTCAACTTTCAAAATATCCATCTTCTCTTAGAACTCAGAGCAAACTCTGTCATCTCAACTTCCAAAATATCCATGATCCAACCAAATTTTCAACATTGTACTGTTTTCATCATCATCCAAAACGTTGCTATTTCTCACCTGTATTGTTGAAATAGCTTTCTAATTGGACGTTTTGCTTTTATCTTGGCCCTGCTTCAATCTTTTCCCTGTTTAGCAGCCAGAAATTCTTTCAGAATATGTCAGATAAATGCCACTTACTTGCTTCCCTTATGCTGCAGAGCATGATCCGAGTACATGCTGTGACTTCCATGGTGCTGCTCTCCTTCTGACCTCATCCTCTACTACTTGTTCTTTGCTCACTCAGTTTCATTCAAACAGTGAAAATTGAACAAGTTTCCATCTGAAGGCTTTAAAAACTGGGGGGGCTCTTTTATAAATCTGGGATATGACTGCTAGGGCAGCCATGGGTGGGCTATTTGGAATAGCAAAACCCATATTTGTTCTCTTATCCTCAAAAAGTCTAACTTGGAATTTTTTACAGGATAGAAGAATGTTTTTCAGCAGCAAGAGAGGGCAAGCTTCAATATGTTATATGCAAGTTACTGGTTGTGTTTGTTAGTGTATAACTGAGCAAAATAAATCTCATGGCTAAAATCAATAACAATGTGGGAAGAAACTACACAAGAGCATGGATATGTGGAGGTGCAATGTCTTGGTGGTACTACTGTAACATTTTAATTATTTTCTTATTGCTGCTGTAACAAGTTACACAAACTTAGTGACAAAACAACTCAAATGTATTATTTTATAGTTCTTGAGGTCCAAAATGAGTCTTAGGGGACTAACATTAACATATCAAAGAGCAATGTTCCTTCTGGAGGAAGAATCTGTTTCCAGGGAAGAATTTGTGTCCTTGTCTTATTCACATTCTGGAGGTCACATACATTCATTCATAGGCTTTGTGGACCCTTCTTTCTTCTTCAAAACATATTACTCCAACCTGTTTCTCTCATTACATCCCATCTTTTGACTTCGAACCTCTTTTCTCTTTCTTAAAAGAAGTCTTATGATCACATTGGAACTCATCTGAATAATCCAGAGTGTGTGTCCCATGTCAAGATTCTTGATTTAATCAAATCTACAAAGGCCCTTTTGCCATATAAAGCAATATATTCCCAACTTCCAGAGATTAGGATATGGAAATATTTAGGAGCTACTATCCTTATCACATAATGTATTTTTAGAGCATGGGAAAATGTTCTGTCACAGAGTGGATATCTCTTAGATGTTTGTTGAATGAATGAGCAGTTACGAAGTAAACTTGTTTTTTAAAAAAATTATGGCATATGTATGTATATTGCGAGCATAAGGAAAATTTCATGTTTCACAATGCAAATGGTATAATAAAATATTGTTGAGTTTGATGCAACAATAAAACATTTGCAAATATTATATAATACTAATGTATGATGTGTTAGTATAAGAATATTACTCGTGTTAACTCATTTGATTTTTTTCAACAATATAACAAAGTAGATACTACTAGCATCCACCACTTGTTTACAAATACACTGAAGCACAAATTAGTTAAATGATTTACTTATTATCACATATTTACTAGGCAGAGGAGTCAGGAATGAAATCCAGGCAGTTGCTTCAGATGTGGCTACATTAATTATTAAGTGATAGCTTCCTGAAACAAACAAACAAAATTCTGAACGATAAAGAAGAAAACAATCACATTTAATTAGAATTATTAGAAAGACTTCTTTGGGTTGGAGTTATTTATATTTAGACAAATTTTTAGGATAAATAATTATTTCAAGTAGATAAAATAGCCTTGGGTGATGAGGAATAGTTAATAGTCTTGGTTGACTGGAGCATCTGAAATATTTCCCTGCAGGAGAAATTAAGCTAAGAAGATAGGCTGAGAACATGTTATGGGAGAATTTGATGAAGTAAGATATCTGCCAAATTTGGCAAACAATGAAAAACCTAATTAGGGGAATAATCTAATTAAATTGTCTTTTCAAAGTCTGATGTAGCAATGGCATACAGGATAGCCTAGGGTACTGGCAGTTTGCAGTGACAAAATGAAGCATTTTGCACAATTTCAGATAAATTATCATTTATATGCATTAACGTGAATAAGCAAAGAAAAAAAGAGAGAGATGAAAGAGACTTGAGGAATTTAGAGTTCACATAATTTTCAGCTTTATGAATTTTCTACCTATTAAGAAAAATCTAAAAATGCTTGATTTTTAAATCTCACATTAGTTTGATAAGTTATTTTTCAATTATTCGCAAATATTAGCCAAGCACCTACTGTGTAACATACACTCTCCTAGTTATTGAAGATTCATTATTAAAAAGGCAAAGGCCCTGGAGTGAAAGAGGGGTCACACGTAAAGAAATAATTTTAGTGTTATTAAAATATAATCATGATTATTTCCTTAATAATAATAGTGGTGTTGAGATAAAGTTATTCTTTTCATGGAAAACAACAAGTTATAATTAAATGCATAGAATTACAAAACAGGTAGTTGAAAATGTCAAGAAAGAAACTGGAAATATGGATCTATACATGGAAAAGGAGACCAAAGTTAAAAATAAGGATTGGAATACTGTATAGTCAGGAGAGATTAACTGTTACAACAAACAGCCCCCAAATTTTAGTGGCTTTCAATAATAACGATTTATTTATTTCTCATGGCTGAGTTCATGTTGTGAGTTCAATGTGAGACGGACAGGAGGTGAATAAGTTTAAGTTAACTTAGAGTCTGTTCTGCACAATTATTCAGGGATCTAGGCTACTTTCATCTAGCAGTCTCATTCTCTTCTAGGACCTTGAAATCCTTTACTGGATAAATTACATAAATCTAGTAGCCAGGAAAGAAAAAGCTTGTGAAAGGTGTATTGGATGTTTTAGGTGACAGGTTTGGAAGTGGTGTACATCATTTTCAACAGAGCTTCATGAATTCAACTCAGATTCCCTCAGGGTAGGTAGGGAAATGCACTTTAGCTGTGCATGATCAAGAAAAAAATAACCTATTGATGAAGACGTAGTACAGTGTCTATGCTGCAGGTGGCATTTGCAGACATTGAAAGCTGAAGATACTAAAAAGGAGGAGAACTACCATTATGTGACTGACTATAGAGAATATACATAGTATTACAGCCCTGGTGAACCCCTCAATTCAGAGAGCTGTAACAGAAAAAAACAATAAAGAAAACAAAAGAACAATATGGGAGATATTGATATTATCCACTATGAAATCAAGGAAGAGAAAATTTTAATACTGGACAAAAGTGTAGCAATAGGTTGATAGCTGCAGATAATTTATACAAGTGAAAAATGCATGCAGACATTAGATTTGGTAATAAGGAGCAATTTGGTGAGTTCTGGTAGAAATTTTATAGTAGAAATGACAGCACAGAATCAATTGCATTTTGTTTCTGTACTTACTAACTGTGAATTCATTTGCGTCCTACATATAGCATTAATTGGTTAGAGAGTTTTAAATTCAATTTAAGATACTTGTTGCTGTGATCATGTGCTTTGTAACTCAGTCTATTTATTGCTTTTTACATTTTCTGAAATTATAATAAAATTGTATTCTTTCATTTATAAAAAGTTTAATAATATTAGCCAAGTTTTCTAAACAGGATTGGAAATAAAACTTTTACTTCATTTTTTCTTTTTTTGGCACAGCTGGTGAGTATCTAATGGAATGTTTCTACTTCATTTTCACTGTCATCTTTCTTCAGTAGTGAAGTACCAAAAAAGGACAGAAAAAAATGATGCAGACGATTTTTATGATGTAACTGTCTACAGTTTAGGTATCTCTGAACCCATCTCCGCTCATCCTTTCTGGAGTTTGGCTATTTAATTCAATACACTATCCTTTTTGCTTGATCTATTTCAGATTGGGTTTCTGGCCTTGAGTTGAGTGCTAACATAGTTCTAGATTTTTATATCAGAAATTTAGGAAATAAGTTCTAGTCTGCAAAATTTCTTTGACGACAAAGGAAGATCACAAAGAAGGAAAACTAGCAGAAATTAAGAGCTTAAAAGAAAAGATGTGACCATGAAGATATGTTTATATATGTCTAAGAGTCAGACATATGACTAGGAAGACATGAAGAGGAAGAGAAAGAGGATTTCCAGTCCTTGTTGAATGCTCTATTTCCTCCCATTTCAAATGAAGGATCTTTTTTTGTTTTGTTGTGTTTTGTTTGGGTCTTTCCTTTTTTTTTTTTTTTTGAAGTAATTGCAGTGCTTATCTTTCAATATGAATATGATAACTGTCATATATTTCTTTACGTGTTTTGATATATACCTAAGAAAAGAGTTTTGTAGAAAGCTTTCTCATAATTCTTTGAAACTTACTTGGTGATTTATAAGTACCATCCATATTGCACTAAAATATATATGAACAATGCATACTTAATTAATTTTGAAATTGTATTATTAATATTTTACAATGGTGATCATGTTTTCTTTTAAAAAAGTCAGTTGTCAACAGACTGTCTTTTACTAGCACTCTAACATATGAATATAAATATAATAATTTGCTATTTAAGTTAGCAAAGTTTTGTTGTTACTGTTTTAAAGGGAATATTGTACACATTTGGAGAAAAATATGCACATGTATGTGCATATTAAATACAGATGAAATGTAATTATATTGTTACAAAATTGACTTAAATTTCCAGAAAGTGATTTGTCAATATTTCCTAAGAATCTGAAAAATTGTAAGGGCTTTTGACACCACAATTTTTCTTATAAAATCTATATAAGAACATAATATAGTAGATCTAGATCAAAGAAAAGATTTATGTGTAAAGATGTGCATTGCAAAATTTTTATGTTAAAAATTTTTAAATAATATATACAATAGGATTGTCTTAAACATGTTATATTCATGAAACAAAAATTATTTGTTTTATGAAACAAATATTTGGCAAACTATCAAAATAATATTTAAAAGTGTTTATAGCATGATAAGTGTATATGCAAAATTGCAACTACAAAAAGATATTTTGAAAATTACACATTATAATATTATATTAAAATATATATTAATAAGAGAATTGAGGGAAATAGACCAAAATGTACTTTCTTGTTTTCCTCCTTAAAAGTAAATTGTTTTCATACATATTAGAATCCTCATATAATTTAACCCATTGACCATAAGGGTTAATGGTCTGCAACGATCTGGTAGATCATTGCAATGGCTCAGAGAGTAATATTGGATAAAACTGGAGATCCACTAGGGAAACAACAAATTTGAAAGAAAAAAATCTATTAGTTAATAAGTTATTTCCCCAGTTGATGATACAGAAATGAAATGAACTTTCTAACCTCCTCTTGGTTGAATAAACTGAACATAATAGAACCTCAAGGCTAGAAAGGGCACTGGAGATGTCATGCATTTCACCCCCTGCTTCCTATAAACTGCCCCCAGAAAAAATGAGAATGTTTCCTATTTTTTTATTATAATTCCCCAGAGAAAGCATTGCTATAACTTCTCACTTTAAGCCTTTTCAATATTTCAAAGTTCTGTTAAGGAAAATTTATTTCTTTAACACCCAAGGCAAAAATATTAACAACTTTCTTCTTGGAGATTTAAATGTTCTAACCATCACCTTGAACTCTTTACACTCTTAATCGTCATACAGTCATTTTTAAAAATTTTCTACTCTAGTTAAAACAGTTGTATATCCTTCAACTTGTTCCAATATATGTTCTTTATCAGTCCATTAATTAACTCTGATCTCTTTTCTGAACAGTCTTCAATTTCTCTGCATGGCAGTTTATTTGTGCAAAACAGAACTGGTCAGAGTTCTCTTTCCTTATTTCCCAAACTCTAGGAATCACCTGAACTTTTTAACATAGTGTGACACTAAAATTTCTGTGAGTTAATTATAACCCTGGCAAATATTTTATTATTTAAAAATTTACTACCAGAGACAAGAACAGTAGCATTCAATGAATACCATGATATTTCTGTAGAAATATTGTCTAATTCTTATTTCTTAGAATAAGGCATACTTTTACTTTTTAGAAATATCAGAACTTTATCTTTAAACTAGATGGCTACAGTAGTCTCCCAACCTCCTAAAAGAACACTTACTTCTATTGCCTATTCTTTCAATAATCAAATTTGTAAAAGGAACATTGTTTAAAATGAAAGTAAAATTTCATCACACCTTTCTCAAAGTCTTACAGTGATGACTGGTCGATTATTAGATTAATTCTGAACTTTTGTTTTGCATAGCTCTTAGAATGAAAACTTTCATCATTTAAAATATATAATTATATATCACTAGATGTTATCAGCAAGTAAATTCTAAACAGCTGTGGGTTTAGAGAAAGACAATCAAATTCTAGCCTTGAATCTGAAACAAGATATGGAGTGGACATTTGAGAAAGTATTGGCAAGAGCAGTGTAGGTGAAGTAAGGAGAAATAACTGGTTTTGTTACTTAGGATAAATGCTATGTGGCCTATTCATATTATGCATCTTAGTTTTTTTTTTCCTTCTTCTCACATTATGAAGTCAGATTGCTCTCCCTCTCTCTGTGTATATATATATATATATATATATATATCTCATATATCTATATATTTCAACTTGCAAACTCAAATATATATATATATACACACACATATCAACTTGCACATTCAGGCATATATTTGAGTGTGCAAGTTGATGGCACATGTATATATCCATAACACCTCCAGCACAATCAAGACAATGAACGTATCCATCACACTCAAAGTTTCCTTGCAGTTTTTTGTAATTTCTCACTCCAACCCTTTCTTACACTGCAGCCCTGCAGGAAACAACTAACAACTAAACTGCTTTCTGATATTAGAAATTACTCTGCATTTTATAGAATTTAATATAACTGGAATTATGCACTATGTACTTTTTTTTAGCTTCTTGCATGTATCATTATTTTCAGAACTATTCACATTGTTATATCTATAAGTAGCTTGATTCTTTTTACTGATAAATAGTATTTAGTTGTGTGCCAATACCTCAATTTGTTGATCCATTTACTTATCAATGGAAATTTTGATGGTTTTCAGTTTTCTGACTACTATTACAAAAAGCTTCTCTGGACATATGTATTACAAGTCTTTGTATGGTCATATACTTTTTCTCTTAGATGTTTATATCTAGTATAAACATCTAAGAGTCAAAAGATTAGGTATGTATGTTTACATTTTTAATAAATTATCAACCTGTTTTCCAAAATATGTATTATTTTACATTCCCAGCAGCAATATGTCAGTTACAGTTGTTCCACATGATCAGAAACACAGAATCGTCTTATATTTAAGTCATTTTAGTGGCTGCTTTATGGTACTTTAGTTTTTTGAATGTACATTTCCTTAATGGCTAACAAGGTTGAGTATTTCTTGTGTTTATTTTCCATTCACACATCTTTTTAAGTAAAATATCTATAAAACCTTTCTGCAATTTATTAATTGAGTTGTTTATCTTCTCATTATTGACCTGGGGGAATATTTTTATTTTTAAGAAACCATATATCAATTATTTAAGCTGGTGACGACATTGAAAAATAAAATCACTTGCACTTTGCTGGTGGAAATGTAAAATTGTATAGCCAATCTCAAAAACAGCTTGGCTGTTTCTTTAAGCGCTAACATACAACATAACCTAACAATGGTACTCTTGATCATATATCTCAGAGAAACAAAGATTTTTGTCACACAAAAAACTACACATGGCAGCTTAAGTTAAATTAAACAGAAACCAAAAATTACCCAGATGATTTTTAAGGAACAAATGCTTAAACCAACTGTGGTATATTTGTACTGTTTAATATTATTCAACAACTTAGAAGAATATACTATTGATACATGCAACAACCGAGATGAATCTCCTGGGAATTATGCTAAATGAAAAAAGCCATTCCCAAAAAGTTATTGTATGATTTCATTTATATCACATTTTTGAAATGCAAAATTTTAGAAACGAAGAGAAGATTAATAGTTGCTTGTGGGTAGGACTGTGAGTTGGGGAGAAGGAGGGATAGGTGGGAGACAGATGGGTATTTACAAAATGGTATTGACCATTGTGTGGTCAATAGATGAACCCACATGTTATAAAATTATATAGAACTAAACAAGCACACACACACAAGCATAAATAAAAGTGAAATTGGGGATATCTGAATACTATTGGTGGATTGTAAAAATGTCAATATCTAAGTTGTAATATTACACTATAGTTTCACAAGATATTGCCATTGGGGGAAAGTGGGTTAAAAATACGAAAAAATACCCATAGTCCCTTTGTATTGTTTCTTACATCTGCCTCTGAATCTATAATTATCTTAATAAAAATTTCAAATAAAAATAAGTATTTTATAGTTAAGTTTCAGCACACAGCTCTAATATAAAATTGCGTTATTACATAGCAAAGTGCTTCCCAGTTTTATATTTAGTATAAACACCTCTAAATGATCAGTAAAAAGTGGGCAAAGCTACAAAAGACTCTAGCATTGCCAATGTAATATTGTTATACACATGTAAAAATGAAATAATTTAAAAGTCTTTTAGTATCCCTTTTTTTCTAGTAGTTTTAGAGTTTCTGGTTTTTTGTTTAAGCCTTTAATCTATTTTGAGTTGATCTTTGTATGTGGTATATAATAAAAGCCCAATATCATTCTTCAGCATGTGAAAATTCAGTTTTCCCAACACAATTTATTAAAGAGACTGTCCTTTTCCCATTGAACATTCTTAGCATCTATGTCTAAAATCAGTTGACAGTATATGTGTGGGTTGATTTCTGGGTTCTCTGTTCTGTTCCATTGGTTGATGGGTCTATTTTTTGCCAATACCATGCTATTTTAATTACTATAGCTTTGTGGTATAGCTAAAAATCAGGCAATGAGATGCCTCCAGCTTTGTTCTTTTTGCTCATCACTGCCTTGGCTAGTTAGGCTTCTTCACAGTTCCATACGAATTTTAAGATATTTTTCCATTTCTATGAAAAATGTCATTAAAATTTTGTTAAAGATTGCATTGAACCTATAGATTGCTTAGGACACTCTGGGCATTTTTAACAATATTATTTATTCCAATTCATGAATGCAGAATATCTTTTCATTTATTTGTGTCTTCATACAGTTTTTTTACCTCCTTGATTATTTCTAAGAACTTTGTTTTTCTGTAGCTATTGTGAATAAAATTGTTCTCTTGACTCCTTTTTCAGACAATTGATTGTTAGTGTATAAAATGCTACCAGTTTTGTATGTTGATTTTGCATCTTGAAATTTTATTCATTTACTACTTCTAACACTTTTTGTGGGAGTCTGAAGTTTTCTATGTATAAGATCATATCATCAGCAAACAGTGAAAATTTCACATCTTTTTCTATTTAGATGTCTTAGGGTTTTTTTTTCTCTTGTCTAATTGCTCTAGCAAGGAATTTCAAGATTATGTTGAATAGAAGCAGCAAGAGCAGACATTCTTGTCCTCTTACAGATCTTAGAAGAAAGGTTACAGAGACTAGTGGGTGGGGGCAATGGAAAGATGATGATCTAAAGATACAAAATCTCAGAAAACAAGGGGTATAATTTTTTTTCTTTTTTTGAGTTCTATTGCATAGTATGATATTTATAATTAATAATAGAGTATTATACATTTCAAAATTGCTACTAGAGTTAATTTTCAAAAGTTCTTATGACAAAAATTTAAGTATTTGAGGTGATGGATATGTTAAATAGCTTGATATGATTATTCCGCATCGTCTTCATAAATTATAACATCATTTTGTATCCCATAAATGTATACACTTATGAATTGTCAATTTGCAATTTAAATTAAAAAGACTTCTTGGTCCTGGGAAATGACATACTTGACAAGCATTAGCACTTTTTGCTCAAATATATTAATTCTGATATGACTAGTATCCTCTTTTTACTGGGAGACCAATGGCAGCGATTAATTTTCTATGATTTTTTTATCATTAAAATGAAAGCTTTTGAACTTACAAAGATTTGCATTATTGTGCATCTTAGTTGTATTAGGGGTCTCCAGAAAAAAAGTACGTGTAGGAGATTACCTATAATATAAATGTATATAAAATATATATGATTGCATATATATATAATTTATCATCTTATATTCATATACATATATAATCAATTTATATATGGGGAATTGGCTCATATAATTATGGAGGCTGAGAAGCTCCACCATGGGAGTCAATGGTGTAAATTCTAGTCTGAGGCCTAGAGAAAGAAGTTATATCTCAGCTTAAGCAGGCAGGCAGAAGAAAAAGGGATGAATTTCCCCTTCCCCTATCTTCTGTTCTGTTCAAGTCTTCAATGGATTAGATGAGGGCAATCTCCTTTACTGAGTTCACCAAATCAAATGCTAATCTTATCCAGAAACATCTCACAGACACACCCAGAAATAATATTTAATCTGCATATCCCATGTCCACTAGAGTTGACATGTAAAATTAATCATAACACTAGGTGTGATTATGTAACAGTGAAAATTGTTATATATCCAGACTGCGTAAGCTTGGGTGTGAATAAACTTGTTACTTAACTGGAGCTTTATACAGAAAAAGTTGTAATGTTTTTTGAGGATTTATTATAAAATATCTACCTTTTGATATGTTAATCAAGTAAGCATCTGGCCAATTAACCCAAAGGAAAAGAATACACATTGTCACTCAATATACTTACTGATCCTATTGGAAAATGAGGGTGATGATTAAAATTTGAATGTTAAGATAAAAACACCCATTCAAATGAACTGGTAGCGGACCAGTTATTTACAAACACTGTAAACCCGTAGTACTTTGCTAAAGATAATGATATTAAAATGTGCTTTGAAAGTTAGTAATGAACAGAATTGAATGTGTAAAGCAAATAAGATCTAAAACATTTATAAAGAATGGTGGTTCCATTACCCATCCACACCAAATTAATCTTACTCTTTACAATTTACAGAGCTTTATAAATCATTCAAATTTATCTAGTTATTGAGTTTGGTCACACAGTCGCACTCCTAGGTATGTGTCTGCAGGTTGTGTCTCTGTTTTATGAGAGTAATTGCAAGTGTCATTAAATGACTTGCTCAGGGCCACTCTGGTCAGTTAGATTTGAATTTCTGATCTGCTTTTATATTCAGTTTATTGGGGCCATGGTTGTCTTTGCTTAAAGTAAATAAAATGTTATCTCAAGAGAAAAAAAAAATACATAAAATACATTTATCATTCCAGATGAATCAATCCAATAATGAGTACATAAGTCCATTTTTCTTTACTCTTTATATATTTTTATTTAAACTAATTCTATTTATATCAAACACGTAATCATGCTAATAATTTTATCATTGTATACGGAATATGAGATATCAATCATAATGGCTATTGGAGAAGAATGTTAGATTTATTACTTAAAAAATGTATGCGTTTCTGAAAAAATCTAACATCCAACTTTCCAATTTAAGCTTCCTTTAGAAGATGATGAACTGTTTTCCTTTTATTTCAACCTGGTTAAAACAGAAAATTTCTGTGGGTTCATTGTTAATTACCACACCTAAGACACAACTTATAACCATTAGCCTATCCTCCCGTTACAGGACTCCTTCAGTGTTGCTTCACCAGCCAGAAATCTCTACGGCCATCGTCATCTCTGCCCAAGCCTTGCTTAGGGCCTGCTGGGCTCACCCTGCCCACTTGGCCCAGCAGGCTGCACTTGGCTCATGCCTCGGCCCGAATACTGCACCTGCCATGGCTCCATGCTTAGCCCACAGCTGGACCAAGCATACTGCTAGTGACTTCTGCCTTGGGCACCAGCATCTAGACAAACAGAACGCAGTGGCATCCGAAAACTTGGAGATGACAGCAATTGCGAAACCCCAAGGGGTGTTACAGCTCTTACCTGAGGAGTCCCAAGGTCTGAGATGTTAGATGTTGCAGTTCTTCACTCCTGCAGCTCAGCAAGCAGGAGCATGTTACAGCTCTCTTTCTTCCATAGTCTGGCAAGTGGCAGTGTGTTACAGCCCATTTATTCCCACTGCCCGCAGCTCAGTGGGTTCTGGGTTCTTGTCCTGCAACCAAGAGGAATAAGGTGTGTGGACACCAGAGAGTGAATAAGGCAGAGAAGAATTTTATTGAGCAACAGAAGGAAAGCTCTCAGCTGCAAAAGAGAGGACCTGAGAGTGGGTAGCCGTCTGTGAGGCTGAGTCCAGGTTTTTATGGGCTTAGAATTGGGGAGTGCATGCTGATTGGTCCATGGGTTGGCTTTGGAAAAAGCACCATTCAATTGGTTTAAAGGCATCATTCAGAAGGAACCAATTGAGAGAGAGAGAGGGTGAGATGGGTATAGAAGTTTTCACTCTGGTTATAGACTCTATATGGAACCAACAGCTTGGTTTTCAGGCTTTAAACGGTCTTTGGCAAGACAGGGACTTGTCTCTGCCTAGGAATTTGTCTGTCTCCTGTCACTATTACTCTCTATGTCCACTGCTTCTTCTCTTTAAAGAATTTATCACTTCATGCTTTGCAACTAAATTATTGTAGAGGCCTGTCTCTTATTCCTTCAATCGGTTCTGAACATCCCTTCTAGATTAATATTTTGTAACACCTCTTTAATTTTATCACTTCCACATTCAAGTCTCTTGCTCACAGAATGAAGACTTTCAGTGTTTTGTTGGTTGTGACATTCTTAACTGCTCTTATTCTTCATTTTGTAGGCCAATCTTTAGCAAAACTGTCAATCACATTCTTGGGCTTTTGACCTGTACACATTTGTACTTCAACAGATTTGCCCTTGTCAGTCCCTATTTTGCCTTTATGTTCACCTTCTCGTCTCAAGCTCCACCTTGAAGTTCTGTACATTTTTTAAAGCCTGGCTCAAAATTATAGACCACATTCTAGATAAAATATCTTATGATAATGCTAGGTAGAAGTGACTTCTTTCATTTCTATAATCCCTGATCCCTTACAATTCGTCCATTACGCCATGGGGGACATAAGTATATGTCTCTTTTCTTATAGTGGTGGTTTTCTTTTCTCCTTGTGTCATACATTCCTTCATCCTAGAGACTACATTTTAAACTCCCTGAGGATTCCTTACAGATAGAAACGGGATTTCACTCCTACAATGATGTCTTGAAAATAGTAACTACATATTTGTTTAATAAATATATCTAAAATTATCTAAATAAATATATCCAAAATATATCAATGATGGATAGATCAATAAATGTATCCATTAAATACTACTGCTTTATACCAATTCAGTTCACATTTATAGAAGCTTTATTTTGACCCAAGCATGTAAAATACAGAAGTGATTTTCACAGGCCACATACACTTAAGGAGTTTAGTCTGACAAAAGAGATTCAATATTAAATTAGAATAACAATAAAATGAGACACCTGATTTATATTGGTAAATTGTGCATGCATAGAGGAAAGAGTTATTGTCTCAGTCTTGGGTTCATAGGTGTTGCAATTTGATTTGAGTCAAAAGTTGAATATAATATGGAAAATGTGGCATACAAAACATTTCACAAAGAAGGTGGGCAAAGATACAGGAGAATATGTGGTTACCAGTAAAGTGCAATGTTCATGTGCAGAAAGAGCTGGAAACAAGACATGTGGAGACTAAGTGGTGGCCTCCAAATCTGAGCCAAAGTCCAGGAGTTGAAAGGTAAAGGCTTGGCTCTCCTGGTTCCTCTTCCTCACCCTAACTGTGCACAAGTCAGTCCTTATGGCAAATATTACATGTTGTTATTATTATTATTATTTTACTTCTATTTTTTCCTCTCCTCATAAGCCATTACAAATCTCAGTGAGTGGAAGAAACATGAGCATAGTACTTTATTATCAAAACTTCAACCAATAACTTTGCCAAGGGTTCAAACAGAACCCTACCATTAATACATAAATTTGTTATTTATAGAAAAATAAAGAAAGCTAGGAAAATTAGAGTCCTAGAACATGGAGATTTCAAGAAGAATTAAGAGTATTTACCACAGAATTGAATATGGCTTTACTAAGAACACAGCTATTTGGGGAGAAGCAAGGATGGTAGGTCAAGGATCATGTTTTATGCAGTAGGACTCTCATCACTCTTACAGTCTTATACAATATTCTCCACATTAAAAACTGTATGTAGAAAAGGAGAGACATCAGAACAATTATTAGATGTTTTATAAAAATGAACCACAGGAAGTGGTATGGTGAAGACGGAAGCCAACAGGATTAAAAAAACATGATTTTAAATTTTAGTCCTACCAATTATCAAATGTAGAACCTAGGGAAATAACTGAATATTATTAATGCTTACTTTTATTATCTGAAATCACAGGAAAAACATTACATCCATTTCATAGGGTTGTTTGAAGACAAAACGAGATAATAAAAGGACAGAGCAGATTTTGGGACATACTAAATGCTCAGTATATGTTGATTATGCTGATTGCAGATATTATGTGAAAGGACTGTTTCTGAATATGTGTTCTCTTAGTTATATCTCAGAATATTCTCCTTGAAATGTTAATTAAAAGCATACTATTTCCTCCTAACTTCTTCTGATATAGTCTCATTATTTTTATATAATATCACTTATATCTTTAAAAAATTCCTCCATTTATGTATTATTACTAAGAAAATCAAATTTATCATCAAAGTGGATTAGTTATTTCCAAAGCTATTATAAATATTTACTCTTAAACTTCTAACAAAACCTATAGTCACATTTATAATGAATATAAGAAAAAATAAAATCTGCTCATACTATATATTAATTCCACTTCTTTATTTTATTTATTTATATTTATATTTTTATTTATTTATTTATTTATTTATTTATTTTTGAGACAAGTTCTTGCTCTGTCACCCAGGCTGGGGTGTAGAGGCGGGATCATAGTTCACTGCAGCCTTGACCTCCTGGGCTCAACTGATCCTCCCACCTCAGCCTCTGGAGTAGCTGGGACTACAGATACACACCACCACACCCAGCTAATTTTTATATATTTAGTAGAGATGGGATATTGCAATGTTGAACAGGCTGATCTGGAGCTCCTGGCATCAAGCCATCCCCCTGCCTTGGCCTCCCAAAGTGTTGGGATTACAGGCGTGAGCCACCACACCTGGCTGCATTTCTTCCTTTGATGGTTGAATTCTATCCATCAAATGCTTAATCTACCTAAGGCTTGAAAGATGCAATTTATGATTAATTGAAAGTATTATTACAGGGCCGGGAGCGGTGGCTCACGCCTGTACTACTAGCACTTTGGGATACCAAAGCGGGTGTATCACCTGAGGTCAGGATTTCAAGACCAGCCTGGCCAACATGGTGAAACCCCATCTCTACTAAAAATACAAAAATTAGCCAGGTGTGGTGGGGGGTGCCTATAATCCCAAGCTACTCGGGAGACTGAGGCAGGAGAATCGCTTGAACCCCTGGGGCGGGCAGACATTGCATGAACTGTGATCATGCCTCTACACTCCAGCCTGGGTGACAGAGGAAAACTCCATCTCAAAAAAAAAAAAGTATTATTATAGTATTTATATATTAGAAAATACAAAGATTAAATGAACCCACAAATGAGATTTTTTGTTGTCGCAGTTGAATAAAAAGAATACTATCCCCTGCAATCTTTATTTTCTTTGACATCATCACCAGAGCCACCTTTGTTTCATTTGTTTATGGATTTTCAGTCTGTGAAATGCTAAAAAGAAGAACACAAAATGGTTATCATGGTCAACATACACATGTGAATAATTAGATGTGACTGATTATAATAGCTCTGAGGAAATGCTTTAAAGTCTCTGCCTCTTATATTAACTGTTTCCTCATATTTCATGCTTTTGAACTGATAAAAGACTTGCTCAAACTTTTCATTTTGGATGTGTGAATTCTGTACTAATTCTATTTGTGTGTGTCTGGCTGTTCTAAATGGCTTTCTGGGAACTTTGGACCTAACAATGCTTTAATTGCATTTTCTTAGTTTTTGCCAGGATATTTTTGTTTTTGTTTTTATTTGTATCAGTTGAGAAAAGAGAGGTTTAGGTAAAGGCAACTGAAATAACTGAAGAATTTTGACTACATAGCCTATTTTGCTTACTCAAATGCATCCTCTATGATAAATATACTGGGCTATTTGTCTAGAGAGCTGCGTGATTTCAGCAGAGTTTAGTAAAAATTCTTTATGTTTATCTGTTAGTGAACATTCATTGAGAAAATGAATTTCCAGCAGTTAAATACAGCGTGATGCAGCCAATCAACCTATAACAGCCCAAACCCGGATGAAGGAAAACATTACATGGCAAGTGGCACCACAACTGATGAATAAAGATGACAAATAAAAAGGCTAATGAGAATTGAATAGTGCATATCCTGAAACCTCTAAAACCACATTCATTATGCTAAGAAATTAACTAAATGCATTTTTTATTTTGTAATAGAAACTTCCACTTGGCTAATTGAAGCTTCCACTGCATCTCCCACAGAGCCCAAGAAGTATCAGTATGTGACTACTGAATGATGGACAATGAAATATATTAATACCATAAAAAAGAAAAAAGGGCAATTAGGTATCTGTTGAAGATTCTGAAATTTAAGTAGGAATATAGGCCAAAGGAAACAGTTATGTAATACCAGAGTTTTCAGACATATTTACTATAGAATACTTGGTAAAGTGTTATAAAGGAGAGGAGTGAAAGTAGAAAAAGAAAAAAATAGTTTTAAAATCTTTATACTCAAATAAAATAAACATATATGGAATAAACTTGAAATTATTAATAAAAACTCTTTATAAATAGCATTTTATAATTCATTTATGTGTCCCAACAAGTGTTACTCATTACTACAATCTTGCACTCATCTGCTATTCCTTGATGCTAACCTCTTTCTACACTGAAAGAAATAGAGTTCCAAGAGTTGTCTGCATCTTGGAACAGTGAAAATAAAGATAGAACAAGAGAACTGAGTCATTGCTAGACAGTAAGAATACTTTCAGGGATGCAAAGCAGGCAATTTAAAAGAGCTTCTCTGAACAAGGTGTGATCATCTAAGAATTAAATGTGAAAACAATAATTATTTGAAAACCCAAGAATCTATAATGATATTCAAAAATGTGTTAAAGAATGGTCATATACAAATGAATTTCAGGTATTTATAAAAATTGTTGAATATGGACATGCCCAGCTATATGCTTAACTCATTTTAATCAACATTTAAGTCTCATTATACTTATTTGACAGTAAAGTTATTACTTCTATGTCTAGTTGGGTTAATAAAAATCTAAACAGGTGAAATCAAACAACAAAAATATTAGGGAAAGTGCAGAGATTTATATTGAATGTTTTAAACCCATGGAAATACATTTCAACTATTGGTTCCACATTGGAAAAATGGCATCTTTAAGGTCCAAAGTTTTACTTGATTAAATTCTTATGCTATTGTTATTTTACCTGTATAATTTATAAACTAACTGGGCAAATATTGGTTTGAGTAAATGGATTTTATTCAACATTCTCTTACTCTCCAAACGCATCCAATCTTTGTTTCTATCTCATTTTCACACACACACACACATACACACTAGAAATGATAAGGGCAAAACATATTGTATGTTCAATGATTGTGGGATTACTCAAGTTAAAAGGAAAGGCATCACTGGAAAGTTCCTTTCAGTAAGTAATGGTCAATAAAGTCAAGTCTGGGTGGAGTCTTCTGGAAGCTTCACTCAGATCCAAGAGATAGAATCTTGGGCCATTAACTCTGTTACAGAATCAAAGTTGCCATAGCAGGTATGAGATGGTCATTAGGTTTCACTCCCTTAAAATAATGCATTTGTAACTATGGAAGGAAAAAATATATATATTATTAAAAGTTTCATGTTGCTTATATTAGTAACACAAGTATAATAATGGATTTTGGGGTCATTGCATCGTGTGTGTGTGTGTGTGTGTGTGTGTGTGTATATACACTTTGTTTAAAGTTGGTTTATATATATAATTTTATATATATATACTTTGTTTAAAGTTAATTTGAATGCTTAAATAAGACTGATACTACATTTATAAATGTTTTATTATACTTACAAGCATGGCTTAAATTCGTAGTACTATTTTCCTCATAAAATCTACATATTTTCCTCGCTAAATGTTTGAAGTGATTAATATAATCAGGTAAATAAATTTTTGATTGTAGATTGAAGTGTAAATCAATTTAATTATGTAAGTAGAAATAGATGTTTAAACAGATTTTAATTTCTCAAATATATAACCTAAACATAAATTGAAACCAGTAAAATGACTAATCTTATTTTACCAGTTAATTATGAAATTAGAATAAGTTTAACTTCTCAAGAATAACTAAATTTTAAAATTAAGTGTAATAATTGAAATATCTATTTTAAAAAGTAACCCGACCTATTTCTTCCATGTAAAAATCATCCCCTCCTATATTACAAAAAGACCAAGTAGACTTAAGTTTAAATATCTTACCATATGCTATGATATATATTTTTGCATTATAAGCATATAAATTTCATTTTTTAATGTGCACAGCAACAATGATATTCAACCATTATTTGAAAACCCCCAGATTTCTAACTGTAAACTTTTCTCAACCAAAATCTTCACATTTATATTCTGTGACTGAGAAGACACTCAGCCATAAGGTAAAGCGTACTAAACGTCCCTTTGAATCAAGCTAAATGTGAAATGAACAAGTAACAAAAGATGAATTGTTTTTAAAATAACCCCAAAAAACTACTGTAGGATCTGTTGTTTAATAAGATGAAACAAAAACTAAATATTTCATAGCTATTTCAGAAAAAAATAAACAAAAAGCATATTATTTCATTTTTATACACTTTAGATATCTTACACTTCATGACTGTTATTTCCAGTTATTTCAAGACTTAGTCTAAACACTACTACTTTATTCCAAGAAGAATATTATATCTTTTTTCCTTCTCTCTACCCTTTCCCTTTATTCCTTTCCCTTCTCGCTTTCCCTCTTTGTCTTTTTTCTTCCTTCACTTCTATGGTTTTTTCTTCTTTCCATCATCCATTTCTCCATTTCTCATCTTCTCTTTCCTCCCCACAGGTATCCCTCCTTCTTTCTCTCACATTCCTACTTTCCCTCCCCACCTTTTCTCATTTCCTTCCCCAAATACATGTTTTTGTTGATGTGCAAGACATTGCATTTTAAAAATCAATTTGGTTTTGCAGCTTTATTGAAGTATAATTGACAAAAGAAAATTGTATATATTGAAGCTGTACAACCTGATATTCTGATATATGTGTATGCACTTTATAAAATGATTGCCATAATAAAGTTAATTAACATATAAAGCTATAGTAAATCAAACAAAATGACATTCTTATTAAATACCTCTCAATGTTCAAATATTCAATATTTTGGGACTAAGATTTATTTTGAAAATATTATTCATAAATGGATGTATTTCTCTAATAACTGCTTACATGCTGGGAAAATAGCATCTTTTAAAGTTGAGTGCTGTATCTGATGGAATCCTTTTCCTTTTTCCCTTGCATAATGTAGAAAATAAATAGCTAAATATTGGTTGAGTCAATTATTTTATTCAACTCCCTGAACACATACTCCAGAGATAGAAGAAAAAATAATTTTTACTAACATTAAATTAATGCAAAAATTTATTAAGTGTAGTTGCCAATTACTATAAGGCCTTCACAGAGAGAAACAAGGTAAGGTGAATACATCACCTTAGATTTTAAACTGTTTAGGAATTTTCTACACATTAACCAATTTATTTCAAAAGGCAAATCTAATAAAACTCTGATTGCAGCAGTGACTTCTCGCCATACCATTGGAAAGGAAGGACATATCGTAATAGTGACTTAGCTCACCAGTTTGGAATGACCATATATGCTGTTTATCCTCATGCCTCTTAACTAATAAGTAAGACCAGAAATTCATTTCAGAATGGAAAATAAGTAAGTAAAATATATAATTACATCATTTAATATACTTTGGATATTGTCCCTGTACCGGCCCAGAGTAGAGAAAATTGTTAGACTATGGATATTTTTAAAACAATAAGCCAGAGTCTGTATACTGACCCAGTTGACTCTTCTCTCCCTTTCCTCTCAACCTCTTTGATCTATTTATGGCTTAAAAGAGAACATACACTAACTATTCCACAGAAGTTTTAAAAAATAGAATAAAAATGGGATCTACCAAGGTATTATCTCTCAACTCGAAGCCCACACTCTGTTTTGTGCGAATAAAGGGAGACAGATCTGCAAAACACATTTCTTCCTTGCCAGCTGGTGCTTTGTTAGACTCTACCAACAGGAGACAGAGTATAGGAATGGTGAAGCCAGCAAGAGGGAAAGGGAACATACTTTTCTTGTTTCCTTGCTCTTCCTGTTTTTGCTCCCAGTTCTTTATGCCTCCTATCAATATCACCAAGGCAATGTTTCCTCATTTGACAGTAAGAATTTGTCTGGAAGTATCAGTGGATTTTAGCCTGTAGTTTCTCCAATACTCACTGAAACAGACACAGCACACACCTTTAGCAAGACCTTATTCTCAGAGGTGTGATTTCCAGGCCTGTAGAGTCTCTTTTCCAATCTCAGAGACATCAACACAAAGGGAGCAGCATCCCCTACTTATAGGACCAAGTTCCAACTTTCTGAAGTTGCCTCCTAAAAACATCCTAGTTTCAATATTTCTCATGTCTTCTCCTTGTTCCCACAGTTCTAAAGGAAATAGTTGTTTTTTGCAGTTGCTATGCTGTAATATGTTAATGCTGCTTTTTACTCTTCTCAGATCTTCAAAACCTAGTGAAACATTTCTTTATAATACATTCTCTCTCTTATAATAACTGGTATGTTTATGTCTCTTGACTGGATCTGGGCTCATAAGCCACCTAATTAAAAATAGTATTTCCTCTGATTCTTATATTTCCTATTTCCACTCTATTTTATTTCTCTTCATATTAATGATCTTTAGTTGAAGTACTGTGTTTTTCCACTTATTAATATTTTTCTTGCATCTCCTACTAAGTTTCAGGGAGGCAAAGATTTCTGTATGCTATGTTCACTGCTATTCTTGCAATCACTAGAACATTGACAAACAATAAGTAAACAGTAAACATGTATTGTGTAAATAAATAAATGGATATATGGTAAAAAAAAAAACTCAGTGAAGAAAACTATGAATCAAAAAAGGGATAATAATTATCTGAAATCTTCCACCTCGAAGTACAAATTATCATAATTAATATTGAGAAAACACCTTTCTTAGCCATCCTAGTATATAAAAACTTGATGAAACATCAATGTAGATAGAAAGCACTTATGAACAGAAAAAAATAAAAAATAGAAAATAAAAAAATTTTAAAAAGATTATTTTGATAAAATATTAAATCCATTTTAAGTGAAGGTATAAGAATGAAAAAGGCCAGAATTACTGAACGAGAGTTAAGCGTGTACCATATGAAATATTAGTTATTAAAAAAGCTTGAAAATTGGCAAGCAGATTGCTTAAATAATTTTCCCTACTGACCTTTTTACGTGTATAGTGTTATAAGTTTTTAAAAATGTCCTCATAATAAGCATATGGACTCCAGTTCCTCACAGTTCCACCTACTCCCAATTGCCTTAAATCCAATTATTTCATTCCCTTTACTATGTGTCTGGCATCTGGTAACATTTGAGTTTATGGCCAAATGAGTTTATGTTTAAAGATATCTGTAAATTTAATGAATATGCTTTCATGGATACTTGAAGTAGTTGAGGCTTTATCATTTGATAGATGTCTCAGGAACAGGATTGAAGATGTACAGTCCTTTAAAAATTAAAAGCTGTCTCTGTAATACTACCAATATGACAAAATACAGCTGGTTTGCTACATGACACAGAAGAGTGATTCATTTCCTCAAATTTCCTTAGCAGAGATGTGCCTTTATTCGGGTTGCAATATAAAAGTAAATTTTATTTATGGAAACTTTATTTTAAATTACTTCTCATGATCTCAATGTCCCTTCATAATTTATAAATATCTATCCTGGGAGTAGATCTCTGTATGCTAGTCCTTGTACTAAGAATAGGCAACACAACCTAGAATTGAATGTCTTGGTCCTCAAGGAACTTACTGAAATTTCTCTTTAGAGATCTTATATGTTTATAAAGTAATCTAAGAAAACTGCCATAAATTAGACATCATAGTGTGTAAGTCTCCCTTGAAAAGGTCTATTATAAATCTCCCCTTCAATATAGAGTAGATGGAATAAATAATCAAGGTAATCTTTTTCACCAAAAAACTGCAGCCAGCATACTTGTTTGTCCTATTATATATCTATATCTGTATCTATAATCTCCATGAATCATTCAAATATCTATCTTTTGAGAGAGACACACAGAGATATGAGATAATAATATTGATACATTTAATTTGGGATATTATTTATCAATGAAAATAATGTACTAATTGGACATTAGGATAGATCTTCAATTTATATTCCAAGAAAACCGAAAAGAGAAAAGGGAGAAGCAGCTCAGCAATCACTCTTAGCCCATCTCTCAGTTACTAGTCTTTGCTTGGGGAGGGTTGTTGGTGTTAGATCCTAAGTAGCCTCCTTCTTAATACTTTCCATGAATGAAAAAGTATTTTCTTTTCTAGCTCAGAGATTTCAAAATAGGGCACCATATAGTGCTGGTGATATCAACCATTATAGTAAAGATAGGAGATCAGGAAAAAAGCATAACCTGATTTGAACTGGGTCTTTTGCTTTTTATTTGTTTTTAAATTTTAAAACAATTTTTAATCCAGGTGTAGAAACCCCATGTTTATTATCCCTAAACTGGAACAGCTTCAGATAGCAACTTTTTTTTTTTAATTTAAAAGCAGTTTCAAAACTTGAAAGTATATGGAACCAATTTAACTACTATTTGATAATATCTGGAACAGAAAAAAGATCCAGTATTCATAAACTACTCAATGCTGAGTACTGAGCTATGTTGCTTGAATAAATTTTGTTTCATTTACTGATTATAACAACTCTGTGAGGAGAGTTATTTCTATTCAAAATGTATAGCTGAAGAAAGTGAGATTTGAATATTTTAACTAATTTCCCAAGGTATATATTATACAGTAGAGGTGGGACTAAACTAAGGAGAGGCTAGAAGCCTCGTCCATGATTTTTTCTTTCTCTTTGCCCAGCTGTAAAATTAGGGAAAAAAACCTCTTAAGTTTCTTCCAGCTCTGAAATACTGATTTCCATTTAAATAATATCTCAAATAGATATTAATTAGTAAAATTCTGTATATCTTTTTCCATTCTTAGTAAGTTGATTTATTCATATCTTCAATATAGACCTAGAAGAGTAGAATTTGAATTGGGCTAGTCAAAGACATATATTTCTTACATGTTCTCCCTAATGCCTCTGGATATCTTTTCACATTGTAGTAATAAAAAAATGGAACATTAGATATACCTTTAATATAGATTGACCCTATAATCTCCTTTAACTAAAGGATCTTATGCTAGTGACTCTCTAAACATTTATATTGCTGCTTAGAGGCCCAGTCAACAAAAGAAGTCTTCAGTAGCTGGAGACATCACTCCATCATTTCTTTTTCATTTACTAATTCTATATTTTTATTTATGCATGTATGTGTCTGATTTCTCCACCTACATAAAAGCGGGAGGACTTTTTTTTTTCTCTTCTTTTTGAGACAGAGTCTCGCTCTTTCGCCCAGGCCGGACTGCAGTGGCGCTATCTCGGGTGACTGCAAGCCCCACCTCCCGGGCTCACGACATTCTCCTGCCTCAGCCTCCCGAGTAGCTGGGACTACAGGCGCCCGCCACTGCGCCTGGCTAATTTTTTGTATTTTTAGTAGAGACGGGGTTTCACAGTGTTAGCCAGGATGGTCTCGATTTCCTGACCTCGTGATCCGCCCGCCTCGGCCTCCCAAAGTGCTGGGATTACAGCCGTGAGCCACTGCGCCCGGCCACAGCAGGGCTCTTAATAAAGCTATTGCCACCTGTTTTACTGTTACACTTTTCCCCTGCTTCTCATTTCCTCTTAACCCAAAGTTATCTGTGGCATCAGACAGACTTTGTACAGAGTTTATATTATTATAAGATATTATCTTTATTAATATTTAGTATTTGTCTGCAGAGCTAGTGACACCAGAAAACTTAGAGAAAACACACACACACACACACACCCACACACACACACACACCAGATTAGCCAGAGGGTATTTTTATTTATTAGGTTCCTGGTGTGCAATTAAAATGAAAATAACATGTTAAAACAAGTGCACATTGCTGATTCCAATCTGCCTGAACAGTAACCATCTGTTAAAGTAAAATTCACACTGACTTTCCCAGCAATGAAAGTCCTTTCATAATGTATGTGACAACAGAAGGGGAATCTAAACTGAGAGAGAAATATTGGGTGAGAAATAGTGAATGTCCTTTGAACAGGTCAACAGTCAATTCTATAATCTTCTTGTCTGAGAATAGACATACACTATTTACAATATGTCATTGAAAAATTTCTTTACTGATTTAGAATTCAAATGGCTGTGATCTCCTCAAAAGACCAAGAAAAAAATTCCTAAGTATTCATATGTTCTTTATGTGTTTCTTAGTATGGTTATCTCTTTCTTGATTTGTTCTGTAAGGGACATGTTGGATGAAAAATTTAAGGCCTTTCAATGGTCCCTGATACCTTCTTTAAAAGAGTCTAACACTGTTTTGTACATTTCATTGTTTGACATTATTTTAATACTTTGGGCAGCCCCATTCCTCTGTTCATGTTTTTCTTCCTGTGTCTGCAACACCAGAAAGTTCTAGTTCTTTTGTGACCTTCCTGAATTTCCTTTTGTGGTAATACTTTTTCTCTTCTTATCTGATAAATATAGGCATTGCTCATTCTTTTTTATTTATTTATTTATTATTATTATTTTTTGAGACGGAGTTTCACTCTTGTCATCTAGGCTGGAGTGCAATGGCATGAAAGATCATGCCAAGAGGCTCACTGCAACTTCTGCCTCCCGACTTCAAGCAATTCTCCTGCCTCAGCCTCCAGAGTAGCTGGGATTACAGGCACGCACCACCACGCCCAGCAAATTTTGTATTTTTAGTAAAGATGGGGTTTCACCATGTTGGCCAGGCTGGTCTTGAACTCCTGACCTCAGGTGATCCACCTGCCTCAGCCTCCCAAAGTGCTGAGATTACAGTGCTCATTCTTTTTTACTATCTTTTTCTCTTTAACTATTATACTGGAAATACTATTACCCCTACATTTACCTCTGAGAATAAAGATCTACATTTGTGCTATTATTCCTGACTTATTTTCTGAGTTTCAGCATTTCCACGTAATAGTTAGTTCTACCTTAAGTAGAACTGATAATCCACTGACATCTCAATTTAATGATTCATCTTAGATATCCAGTTACTCCCAATTAATTGAGGTTATTTTGTTCATAAAGTTGCTTACATAATAACTCCAGAGGTATGTTGAGCCCCAGAATTGGTTACATCAGCTACACAATGTTCTCTGTGTTTCCACCCTACATGTCTTGGCTTTGACTCTTTAAGCTGGTACTAAGATAGCTTCAGTTGTTCTGGGCATCACATCTAGACATACAATTGTTGAAAGTAAGGCGATGAACGAGCTTTTCCTATGACTTTGTGTTAGAGACAAGTACCCTTACCCAAAGCTAGCTCCAACCTCACACCACCAATAGATTTCCCTTCATTTGTCTCTGGCCGTAACTGAGACTAATTCTCTTTTCTAAGCCAATTATTAACAGAGAGAAATGAAAATCATGACTGGTTTAAACTAATAACCTGGGGTTGAATGAATATTGGGGAGGCAATAAGAATGTCCTTGATTATATTACCTCCTTTCTATTACTAACTAGCAAAATTCTATTAATCTTTAAAGCATATATCTTCTAAATCTTTTTATGCCTACAAAACCTCCATATTTTTTGTCTACACTGTTTATATAAATTTTACCATGTGCAGACTTGCTGACCAATATTTCTGTATGTCTTAGCTAACCTGAATACTTGCTTTATTTATTTGTAGAGGAAAATGTTACATTGAGATTTAGATATCAAGTCCATTGGCCCCGTAGGCCCTACGAGCCCTCACTCTAATCTGGGGTTTACCGTACACCCCAATATCTCTGTATAAGTCCCAACAGGGGCTACCGAAAGTAGTCTTTGGCATTACCACTACCTGATCCTCTACCATTTCTATGTTCTTGTATCATCAGTGTCTGACTGGCTGACTGACAGAAGGTCAAAATGTTTTCTTATTCCCAGTTAAGTCAACAGCCTTACTATAGGAGCAAATCCAAAAGATAATATAAATGATTCATTTTGAAATATAGAACTTATATTGATGATATGCATCTATGTAGACTTCATTGGGAATATATAAGGAAATGTAGATAAGCATTTAAAGAAAAAGATTATATGATATTTAAAAATCACAAAACTTCAACGATGGTAAAGTCGTTTCATGGACTAATAATAGTCCATAATGGCAAAGAAGGAAAACAATCTATATATCCATTCATTACATACTTACTCTCTCTATATAAAATATTGGATCAATTTTTTTTCTAGGATGTTTCTAGCTTCTAGACACAGGTAACTCATATATTCACATGAATGCACTTTATCCATTTTCACTTTTTATCATTTTTCTGAAAAAATATAGTTTGTCTCAATTATATTTAAAAAGAGCCATTATTTCATATAAGAACAAGACATTTGGAAACAATGAATTGAAAGCATACATGATTTTACATAGGAAAATGCCTGCTTTTATGATAAGAGAGAAATAAGTAATTTTACATGGCAATAGAATGAAATTCACATCATAACTCTTTCTGAGAATCTCTGAGAATCATACTCATTTGCCATATGTAGATGAAAATTAAATAACTGTCAAAATGTCAGCTATATAGACATATAAGCTAAGAAATAAAAATTCTATATTTCAATAAAAAATGTGTTCTTTTCCTGGTAATGCAAAAGTCTCTAGGAAGTTTTATCTGTTCACAACTATAGACACCTTGGTTTAACTGAGTCTTTGATGAAAAAATGAGAAGACAAAGCACTTGTCATCCATTCAGGCTTGTTGTTTCATTGATGTCACTGAATACAGTATAAATAATAATAAGCCTCTGACTACTTACAGCTTTTCTCAGCATTAAATATGCTGCTTGATGAATGGCTGAAATAAACTGTACTTAACTCTTGTATGTCATATTTTTAGTATCTAGGCTCTATTACCTTCATTATTTTCTGAGTGGGACCTCTGAATTTTCCCTGGCATCTGGGAAGCTAGACTCCATGGTAGAAGAAGACATGTAGGATTTAACCACGGAACACTGAGAAGAATAAAGTTAAAAATCATGTGTTTCTCTTTAAGAAACAGAACACAAGAACTCATTTGGGAGAAAATATGAGTGTTCTGTAGATGAAGACACAAAATAAAATAAAAAGCAGTTCAGATAAATTATCTGAAACTTGTTGAAGTGACTGATGGTAATTACTACAACACTAAATTGATTTTGATATTTTTGGTAAAAAGAAGCGAAGACTGCAAAGACACTATGAGCGGGGGATGTTTGCCTAGAAATTTCAATCATGGGCACACTGTAGAATCAAGAGTCATACAATGATTTTAGGAACCAATTAAACCAACACAAACCAAAGTTATTCAAAACAAAACAAAAAACAAGCGACAAAACTACAAGTAAACATTTCACAAAGTCTCTGAGAATGCTCTATAGAATTTGTATGTGGAATACATTAGAAGCTTCAGCCTGGGGCAGATGGTTGCCAAAAGGCAGCAGCGAGGGCGGAAAGAAAGCTTTAGATTTTGTTCCTGCTTTTCGCCTATTCACTTGCCTGGGATAATCAGTGCCTCTCCTCACTGCAGGGAACTACCAGGGCTGATATCTGCATAGGAAGGATAAGCAAAAGCCCTGCTAAGGTAAAGTACTGATAAAATTAAAACTAAACAACAAGCTACACTGGGACATTCATTCCTTACCATCTCCCTGAAAATGGCTAGATTATAATCTAGAGTGTTGCTATAATTTCTACTATGACATATAATTTAGCACTGAATATATTTATTTGTGTATATGTATACAACATGTATGCATATAAATATGTATTTGTAGTATACATACATGTAGCACTATATATAGATATATATGTACAGGTGACTCTTGAACAACATAAGGGTAAGAGGCACCAACTCTCATGCATCGGAAAATCCATGTATAACTCTTTACTCCCCCAAAACTTAACTACTAATAGTCTACTGTGGACCCAAAGTCTTAGCAAAAACATAAGTAGTTAATTAACATGTATTTTGTATGTTACGTGGATTATATAATGCATTATTACAATAAAGTAAACTACAGAAAAGAAAACGTTATTAAGAAAATCATAAGGAAGATAAAATATTCTTGCTATTTATTTGGTGAAAGTGGATTATCATAAAGTTCTTCATTCGTGTTGTCTTTATGTTGACTATGCTGAGGAGGAAGAGGAGGGGTTGGTCTTACTGTCTCAGGGGTGGAAGAGGATGAAAATTTGTGTATAAGTGGACTTGCTCAGTTAAAATCTGTGTTGTCCAGGGGTCAACCATATATATATACACACATTATGGTGTATATATATATATATATATACACACACATACACATTATGGTATATATATATACACACACATTATGGTGTATATATATAGTATATACACACATATCTAATGTATATATACACAATATATAACATATATATACACACACATATATGTGTATATGTATATATATAATGTACACACATATATATAATATATATTTACACTACAAACTAAAGTTAATGGTGATACTGAAAAACTATGCATTTGCAGACATTCATATTATTTATTAAAACAAATCTTAGAATTAGTAAAATATGCCTATAGAGATATTATCAAGACATAAATAAAGACAAATAGCTAAGTCAACCTTAAAGAGAGACTATAAAATGAAAATGGGCAGTAGAATACTGGTTGGCTTATGCACAAGACGCCAAGATATGCTGTAAAGCCACAGCAGTAGCGATGGCGTTAAAACAAGAGGAGAGAAGCAGCCACAGGAAGCAGCAGTGAGAACGAGAGGAGAGAAGCAGCCACAGGAGGCAGCCGTGAGAACGAGAGGAGAGAAGCAGCCACAGGAGGCAGCCGTGAGAACGAGAGGAGAGAAGCAGCCACAGGAGGCAGCACCAAAACTTAACAGCACATCTATGTGTATGTGAAAATTTCATACAACATAAAATTGACACCATAAGTTATTAAGAAAATTATGAGTTCTTTAGTAGGTAGTATTAGATTGCTGACTCATTATAGAGAAAAAATATAAAATGGAATTTCATATGCAAACATGGACTACATAACACAAACTCCATGTGAAAAGTTAAAGAATTAATAGAAAAAACCATAGGAATTTATATCCATCAATTATCAAGAATGAGGAAAGTTTTTTCATGTTTTCTATAATGAAGAACTCCATGACAAAGTTAATAATCATATTAGAGAATATAGAAGACATTTGTAATATCTGAAAGCAACAAGGGAGTTATTATTGCTTCTACTGTGCAAGCAACTTCTACATATTCACAAGAGCAAAATAGCAACTTCAAAACATTAATGGATATTGTATACAAACAAGTAGTTTTTAAAGAATATCAAAATCTAGCAAAAATATCACCAAATTCTTTAGTAATGAGAGGAATACAATAAAGGAAAGTTAACTATTATTTTATACCCAGGGTATTGGTAAAAATCAAAAAAAGGTAATACCAAGTATTGATGTAGAGTATAGGTAACCTCACATCCTACAGATGGCAGTCACTCCAGAGAGCAAACTAAAACTATTTAGTCTATAAGTATATTAATAGCCTATGAACCAACAATTTCACATTCAGGTACACAGCACAAATTTTTACACTATTCCAAAAGGTGCAGGCACATGCATATTCAATGTGCAGTTTTATTCATGGAAGCAGAGAGGTGAAGGCAAATAGAATCAGCCATCACTGGGAGTGTGAAGAGTCAGAGTCAGACCATGGACTATTATTAAGCAGTTAATTACAACAGGTATATGTGATATTGGCAAACAAACTATATTAAACCACAGTTTAAATAGAGAATGTAAAATTCAAGCTAGAAAGTAAGGTAAAATCAAAGATATATTTACAGCAGAAAATTCAGAGTATGACATCCTTTTCATCTACTTTTGGTAGAAGACATATTAGTCTACTGGTGGAAAGAAAAAAATATTTAGTTGTATATTCAGCATCCATACAGTAAAAATCAAAGTAATTACTGATAAATGAGTAATGAGATTTGAGCAATAAGAAATGAGATTTGTTCCCAGCACTTTGGGAGGCCGAGGCGGGCGGATCACGAGGTCAGGAGATCGAGACCATCCCGGCTAAAACGGTGAAACCCCGTCTCTACTAAAAATACAAAAAAAATTAGCCGGGCGTAGTGGCGGGCGCCTGTAGTCCCAGCTACTTGGGAGGCTGAGGCAGGAGAATGGCGTGAACCTGGGAGGCGGAGCTTGCAGTGAGCCGAGATCCCGCCACTGCACTCCAGCCTGGGCGACAGAGCGAGACTCCGTCTCAAAAAAAAAAAAAAAAAAAAAAAAAAAGAAATGAGATTTGTTCTGCAAGTGAGGCAGAGAGCTAATTCATATGCTCATCTTAGAGAAAATACTTTAGTGTGATAAACAAACAACATCATTCATTATATAATCATGAGTTTTAAAGGGCCGTACTTTATTGGAAACTCATGTCTCAGTCAAAAAGCTAACACCAAAGTACAGTTCAAAGTACAGTTGGTCAAACCTGGTGTATGGACAATCAAGACTCAAGACAAGAGCTTGGCTTTTAGCATTCAGCTTAGCTTTTAGTGTTCTTTAGAAGAGAGAGTAGAACACACAGTCTTAGAAAACCTATACACACATATATGTTTTACTGTTTCCCAGACATTTAATAGGTATTGAACAATCAGGTCAAAGGTTAAAAATAAGTTAAGAGTAGTTCTCATGCTTTAATATCAGCCAAAAAGAGGGGAGATTTGACATTTTGTTTTGAATCTTGAAAGCTTAGAAAGGTTAGTGTGTTATTGATGACTATTGATTCCCCAAAATACCATCAAAAAAGTAGGCTAAAAATCATAGATAGGGCTATTAGTCCTACCAGGAAATAACATCATCTTGAGAGAGAGGAAAGTCAGAGATTACTTGAAGGATTTTAGGAGCTAAGATAAATAAGTTTAAGATGAGTCCTTCAGGGAGAATGGATTGTGATTTGACAGAGTTTACGATATAATGCATTTGGATTGGTGGAAACAAATTGAAAATATAGTAGTGAGTCTTAATGATTAGTGAGTAATACATTCATTTCCAAAATAAAGCAATATTAGTTTATAGTCTAATCTCTGGAAGTATGTAAGTCCTGGAACAAATATTTAATACTTTTTCTCAGTGCTTTTGAGCAAAGAAACAGAAATGTAGGCCCAGTCCAAATATCATCTAAATTAAGAAACGGAATTATATTGGTTTCCCTGCCAGCCACTTTGTTCCAAAATTTATCATTGGAGTGCAAAAAGGAAAACACTCAGAATCATTTCAGAAAGTAATTTTTAAATACTTTAATGCATACAAAAGATAATTATGCAAATTAAAATGATAATGAGGTACCATGACATACCTATTACAATGGCTAAACCTATCACATTTCAGCATAAATAACTAAAGAAAAAAAAGTCTAACCCTAAAAAATTGACATAGCAATTCCTGGCAAGGATATGGAAGAGCAATAACTCTCATTTATTACTGCTGGTAATACAAATGGTATAGTACTTTGGAAGACAGTTTAGCAGTTTCTAACAAAGCTCAACATGTTCTTACCATGTGACTTAGCAACTGTCTTCCTAAATATTTATGTAACTTATTTGAAAAGGTATGCAAGTACAAAAAAACTATGTAATTTATTCATAATCAATGAAAATTAGAAATAAATGGATATTCATCAATAGGTGAATAGAGAAATTAATATATGTGCATTCTTACAATGGAATATTTTTCAGTGATAAAAATTAGATGAATGAGCATATTTCTAAGTAAAATAAATAATCCCGAAAAGACTACATAATGTATTATTTAATTTATATGAAAGTCTGAAAAAGGCAAAAAGATAGAGATAGTCAAAACATCAGTGGTTGCCAGGAATTTGGGAGAGGGAGAAAATTTGAATAGACAAAGTACAGGGGATATTTTAGGGTGATGAAACTATTCTGTATTATGCTGTAATAGTAAGTGCATGACACTAGGCATTTGTCAAAAACTATAGAACTTAGGACCACAAAAAAGTGAATATTAATATATGCACCTTTTTTTTTTTTTGAGATGGAGTTTTGCTCTTGTTGCCCAGACTAGAGTGCAGTGGTGTGAACTTGGCTTACCGCAACCTCTGCCTCCCAGGTTCAAGCGATTCTTCTGCCTCAACTTCCTGAGTAGCTGAGATTACAGGCACCTGCCACCACACCCTGCTAATTTTTTTGTATTTTTAGTAGAGAAGTGGTTTCATCATGTTGGCCAGGCTGGTTTTGAACTCCTGACCTCAGGTAATCCACCTGCCTCAGCCTCCCAAAGTCCTGGGATCACAGGCGTAAGCCACTGTGCCCAGCCAACTTTTTCTTTTTAAAATGTTAGGGGAGTCCCTGGACAGAATGTAGATATCATTGAAGAAACTTGGAGAAAAGGTGCTGCTGAATTTAGTAACTTTGAAAATGACTGGACTTTGTGACTAAAACAAAAATAAAGAATACATAGCCCTATACTCTAACTGATATGTATTTTTTCTCATGGGGTACGCTTAACAATTCTGATGCAGTATACATATGTAATGAAATTGAAAAATCAAATAATTGAATGGAAGATGGTGAGGACAAAAGTTCCTACTTTTGCGGAGTGAGGTTACAGATGAGCAAGGACAAGAGGCTGGAATTATCTATGTAGTCATAAACTACAGTTAGAGACATCAAAATGAGCCCATGCTTAGCTTAATAAAGATTCACATGTTCTGTGGCTCACGCCTGTAATCCCAACACTTTGGGAAGCCGGGTGGGGGGAGGTGGATCACCTGAGGTCAGGGGTTGAAGACCAGCCTGACCAACATGGAGAAACCCCGTCTCTACTAAAAATACAAAATTAGCAGGACATGGTGGTGCATGCCTGTAATCCCAACTACTTGGGAGGCTGAGGCAGGAGAATCGTTTGAACCTGGGAGGCGCAGGTTGCAGTGAGCTGAGATCACACTATTGCACTCCAGCCTGGGCAAAAAGAGCGAAACTCCATCGCAAAAAAAAAAAAGAAAAAAAAAATATATATATACGTTTACACATCGAAATAATCATAGGCATATGTGTATACATGGTTTAGTAGATATACTCATACTTTCCTGCTCTTTCACTGAGAAAACGCAGAAGCAAGACTTCCCCAGGAGAAGCAAGCATATCTAGCATTGAAATCTTGGTTTCTAATGTAGCTCAAAGGAATCAGAGCTCCTTGCAGAAATGGCCAAATCTAGGGAGGGGGCAGAAGATGTACAAAGGGGCATGGAACATTTGGTACCGACAGAATGTATAGACATTCCACAAAAATTCCATAATGATGAACTCCTTAAGATTTGTACAAATATATTTTTTAAATTACTAAAATTTATAACACAAATGACCCTGAATAGCCAAAATAATCTTTCGAACAAATGCTGGAGGCATTACACTTCCTGATTTCAGAGTGTATTAAAAAGTTATAGCAACTAAAACAATATTTAATTGGCATAGAAACAGACATATAGAGCAATGGAATAGAAGACAGAGCATAGAAATCAATCCATATATATAATGTCAACCTATTTTTGATGAGTGCCAAGAATACACAATAGAAAATGATAATCTCTTGAACAAATGGCAGTGGGGAAAACTGGATATCCACATACAGAATAATGAAATTAAGTCTTACCTAAACATAAAAATGTTATCTTATATAAAATGTTACCTAACATAAAAATGTTTTACCTTACATAAAAATCAACTTAAGCCTGGCACGGTGGCTTACACCTGTAATCCCAGCATTTTGGGAGGCCAAGGCAGGTTCATCACCTGAGGTCAGGAGTTTGAAACCAGACCGGCCAACATGGTGAAACCCTGTCTCTACTAAAAATACAAAAAAATAGCCAGGTGAGGTGGTGGGTGCCTGTAATCCCAGCTACTCGGGAGGCTGAGGCAGGAGAATGGCTTGAACCCGGGAGGCGGAGGTTGCAGTGAGCTGAGATCGTGCCACTGCACTCCAGCCTGGGTGACAGAGCCAGACTCTGTGTCAAACAACAATAACCACCACCAATTTAAAATGGATTGAGGACCTAAAACTAAAACTCCCGGAAGAAAAAAATATGAAAAAACCTTCTTGATATTGGTCTTGCAGATGATTTCATGGATATGACACCAAAAACATAACAATAAAAGAAAGACAGAGAGAAGTACACTAAACTAAGCAGCTATTGCACAACAAAAGAAATAATCACAGAGTAAAGAGAAGACTTATGAATGGGAGAAAATATTTGCAAAGCATATATCAGGTAAGGGGTTAATTTCCAAAATATAAAAGGAGCTCCTCCAACTAAATTCCAAAATAAACTAATAACCTGGTCAAAATATGGGCTAAAGACTTGAGCAGACATGTTTTCCAAAGAAGACATATGAACAGCTATATGAAATTACAGTCAATTTCACCAGTCATCAGGGAAATACAAATTAAAGCCATAATGAGGTATCACCTAAAACCTGCTAGGATGGCTGTCATCAAAAAAACCAAAAGACAACAAGTGTTGGTGAGGTTGTGTAAAAACGGAACCTTTGTTCGTTGTTGGCAGGAATACAAAATATTGCAGCCACTATGGAAAACCGTATGGAGATTCCCCAAAAAATTATGAAATAAAACATCCATATGATTCAGTAATTCCACTTCAGGGTATTTATCCAAAAAGTTTAAATTATAATCCTAAAATAATATTGGCAACACTATGTTCATGGAAACAATATTCACAATAGCCAAGACATGGAAATAACCTAAACATGCATTGATGGATAAATGAATAAAGAAAATGGTACATACATATAGTGGAATATGACTCAACTTTAGAAAAGGATATCTTAACACTATGCAGCAACATGGATAAACTTTGAAGACACATTGAGTGAAATAAGCAAGTTACAGAAAGACAAATCCTGCATGATCACACTTATGCAAAATATCTAAAATAGTCAAACTCATAGAATAAGAAAGTAAACTGTGGCTTGCTGGAGTGTGAGGGGAGGAGGAAATAGAGAATTATTAATTAGTGGGCCTCAAGTCTCAATTGTAAAAAATGAATATGTTTTAGAGGTATGCTGTAAAACACTGTCTCCATAGTTAACTGTACTGTATTCTACACTTAAAGATTTATTAGCAGGGCAGATCTAATTTAAATGTTCTTACCACAATAAGTAAAATTTTAAAAGAAAATAAAGCTAAAAGGTAAAATAAGGAAATATATCAAAGTAGGTTACTTTATTATGAAATATGATTTTGTGAGCTATAAACAAAGAATAACAATGTTGCAAAACATAAAGTAAAAACAACAATAAAAGAATAAGTTAATAAAGAAAAAAACCCACAATTACAAAGAAAATCCACAAGGATTAAAATATGGAAAAGAGACACAGGAGCCAACTGAAAGACTCTCAATGGACAAAACTGAAATAATTTTGGCAATAAAATATAGTATTATTAAATTATAAGTCAAGGTATAAAATGTTTGTAATATCATATGGACATTAATAGTTGAATAAATATATAAATGAGGGAAAGTAGAAAAATTCTCTTTGCAGAAGAATTTCAAATATTTTATGTAGCTAAGCATCACTCTCAAATGTTTGGCATAATTCTCCACTCCTTAAATGTGAGCTGTACATAGCCACATTTATTCCACCTTATTCCAGAGTACAGTATGGAAGATGCAAAAAGTAACTTCAAAGCGGAGAAACTTGGAAAACACTGCCTCAACCAAGTGATTTAAGTTACATCAACAGAATGTATTATGAATATGACGTGTTAGAAGTGGAACTTTACTTCTCTGTCCTTCCTCCCGCCCAGAATATAACCCTTGCCTAATCATCAGAAAAGTATCAAACAGAACCTGACTGAGGGACATTCTATAACACATCTCACCAGTACTCCCCAAAATTTTCAACATCATTAAAAACAAGGCGTCTGAGAAAATATCACATTCAAGATGAAACTAAGGAGATAAGATTACTTAAATGTGATTGTCTTACTGTTTCACATTAAGACTAAATCTAGATTGTAGTTAGAGCTTCCAGAAACTCCTTTTGCTTTACAGGTAAAATGACTTGAAACCACCTCGCCAGGCAAATAATTATTTGCTTAGATAGAAATTCCAAATTAAGCATCTCCACACCTTTGATGCGGTTTTAACTCATACATGTAACAAGCAGGTCATTAGTAAGCAGGTCATTATTCCTGAAGTCACTACAGATAGAAGTCTATAGACTTCTATAGAATTCACCAAGGTAAAGAGGCCATTCTGAAAAAAAAATAAAGGATTAAATCATACATGTAGTGCATGGTTAACTGTAAGCACACACATGATATTACTAAAAGTCAATTTATCATTGTAATTCTTTAACGTGTTATGTCCCAGAGGATGTGTGCCAGGAGAACCAGGCGAAGTATCTTCAGAATACGTTTTAAATATTCTAGAGATGCTTTGCTGACCTATTTAAAACTCTTAAGTGCTTTGTTGTGACAAAGTTAATAGCTGAATCCATTTCACACGTATATTTTAGAACAGACTAACTGATGGTCTGACTACTGTCTGTTAATATTGCTGCCTGCTTACAAACAGCTTCTGGGGAATCCTAAGAATCTTAAAAATAGAAAATGGCATATTTCTATAGAAACTACAAAATGATATTGCCAGAGTTTTGACTTTTGTCCACAGGTAGAAAAATATATACATTGTTGACATGACATAGCAAATAAACACTTCACAGATGACTGAGTGGTTCCATGCTAACTGCTAGGTTATCACAAAACACAATTACTCATCTACTACTGTATTAGGGTTCTCTAAAGGGACAGAACTAACAGGATAGATGTATATACATAAAGGGGAGTTTATTAAGGAGTATTGACTCACATGATCACAAAGTGAGATCCCAGAATAGGCCATTTGCAAGCTGAGGAGCAAGGAAGCCAGTCTGAGTCCCAAAACTTGAAAAGTAGGGAAGCCGATAGTGCAGCCTGCAGTCTATGGTCGAAGGTCCAAGAGTCCCAAAGCTGAAAACTTGGAGTCTGATGTTCAAGGGCGGAAGCATCCAGCACAGGAGGAAGATGTAGGCCCGGAGACTAAGCCAGAGTAGTCTTTTCACGTTCTTCTGCCTGCTTTTAGTCTGGCTGCACTGGCAGCTGATTTAGATTGTGCCCAAACAGATTAAGGCTGGGTCTGCCTTTCCCAGTTCACTGACTCAGCTGTTAAGCTCCTTTGGCAACAACCTCAAAGACACAGCCAGGAACAATAATTTGCATCCTTCAATCTAACTGAGTTGACACTCAATATGAACCATCACAATGACCAAATGTCAATGTGCTATTAAAAGTATATTTTCTCTTAGGTAGGTAACATGTCGGAGATACTGTTCTAGCCACAGTTTCAAGGGCCATGTTTATATTCTGAGAACAGGGAGAGAGACAGAGAGAGATAATGCGTTTTAGAAGAAAGTTGGGATTTCGTAAAAGATAAAGACACTAGAAATCAATTACTTCTTTCTCTTATTTGCAAAAACAAAATTTAGGTGAATATCAGAATATTAGACTTAACTGGGTATCAAAAACACACCATGTTATCTCTATATCATAGTGTATGGTTAAAAAATTTTCAATGAAAGTTTTATCAAAATAATTTTTGATGGTCAAAACAGTTATTTATGTATAAATACATAGTTTTATTTTTTCCTTAATGCAATTTTTGTTTATAAAAAGTACAACATTCATCAGTAGACAACTTGCTGAGACAAGAAGTCTTTTCCTGATGGAAGGTCTTTTCTCAATCGAAGGGTTCGTGGTCCCACGGGCTTCAAGAAATGAAGCCGTGGACCACAGTGGCGAGTGTTACAGCTCGATTAGAGAAACGTGCGGACCCAAAGAGCGTGGGGCGGCATAATTAAAGCAAAAGTGAAAGCGAAAGTAAAGCTTCCGGGCGGTGGAAGGGGACCCGGAAGGGTTGCCATTTTTGGCTTGGGTATCTTATGCTTATATCTCCTTATGACCCCTCCCCTTTTCCTTTTTCTGTCCTATAGAATTAGCTTATTTTCTATCTGCTTGTGGGTTGGCGGGCCTGTTTGGTTAAAAACATCAGGCTGCAGCTAGAGCTTAAACTTCCTATATGATTGGTTGAAGTGTCCATCCCTTGGCTTGCAGCTGTGACTCATTTTGGCTTAGTGGAAAGTGCCCCTTGATTGGTTGAAGTTTCCATCCCTTGGCTTGCAGCTGTGACTCATTTTGGCTTAGCAGAAAGTGCCCCTTGATTGGTTGAAGTTTCAATACCTTACCTTGCAGCTGTGACTCATTTTGGCTTAGCGGAAAGTGCCCCTTGATTGGTTGAAGTTTCAATCCCTTACCTTGCAGTTGTGACTCATTTTGGCTTAGGTGAGAATCCTCTTTGATTAGTTGAAGTTTCAATCTCTTAGCTTGCAACTATGACTCATTTTGGCTTAGGGGAAAGTCCCCTTAGGGAAGTCCCTATTGACCCAGGAAATCCAGCCAACTTAGCCACTTAGTCCCTCATTCCCAAATAAAAACTATCAATTGGTGCATCCACTTGGAAGAAAATAAACAATATTTCTCAGTAGACGTTTGATACACATTGTAACAAGATTGTGTTACTTGTACAATTGCTCAATTGTGTTTATTACCAACACTGTTAAGTCTCTGAACTGTGAAATGTTTTCTCTTATTTCAGACAAATGTCCACAGGTTTTCTTAGTCTCATTGCTCCATTTTTCTATTACCTGTATATCAAAAGCAGTGTCTTAATTCATTTTTGTTCAGCTTATCACTTCAATTCTATGAGCTCGGCTGGTTTTTTATGTTAACTCTTTAAACAATGCTTTGTAAGGCTTCAAACAAGTTGGAAAAAACTGGCTATTACTTTTTAATTAATAAAGAAAATATAATTGCCCTTTTTGATTTAAACTACTTGTATAAGGATCCTCCAGAGGGACAGAACTAATAGGATACGTGTGTATATGAAAGACAGTTTATTAAGGAGAATTGGCTCACACTATTGAGGACTAAACTCTGATTTTTTTTAAATCTTGCACAAATTCCTATTTAAGGGGTCTGGGGAGTCATGTGCTACAAATCATAAATTCTCATCAGAAGGGTTTTATTTAACCCTGTATATCATGACTTATTTTCCAACCTGATTCTAGCATAACATTATGAGACAAGGAAGAAAATCAAAATATTTTACACCAAAACCTGTTTCGTAGCCATATTTTGAAATGACCCTGCACATCTGTTCTTTGTGGGGTATACTTTGCATCTGTAAAGAATCTCTATTAACATACCTAGATCTTTTTCTTCCAGACCCTCCCAATCCTAAAGAGATTAACTAAGATCTGAATAGGAAACATTTGTCATTTATTGTCTCTAAGGGCAGCCACTGTACGACTTCACAAGAACTTTGGACTCCACAATCTTTATCTTAACCTGAATATTCCCTTTCTATGAATCCCAGGTCTTTAGACAAATGCAACTAATTGTCAACCAGAAAATGTTTAAATTCACCTATAGCCTGGAAGCCCACCCACCCCATCCCCACCTCCCCACACCTCCCCGCACCCCCCTCCACCGCCCCCCTGCTTTGAGTTATACTGCCTTTCTGGACTAAACCAATGGTATTCCTTAAATGTATTTGATTGATGTCTCCTGCCTGTCTAAAATGGGTAAAACTAAGCTGTGCCCCGACCACCTTGGACATATGTTCTCAGGACCTCCTGAGGGTTGTGTCACCGGCCATGGTCACTCATATTTGGCTCACAATAAATCTCTTCAAATATGTTACAGAGTTGGACTCTTTTCGTCCACACTATCACAAGGTGAAGTCCCATGATAGGCTGTCTGCAAACTGAGGAAGAGAGAAGGCAGTAATGTCTCAGTCTGAGTTCAAAAGCCTCAAAAGTGGGGAAGCTGACAGTGCACCCTGCAGTCTGTAGCTGAAGGCCCAAGAGCTCCCGGCAAAACCACTGGCATAAGTCCCAGAGTCCAAAGGCTGAAGAACCTGGAGTTTGATGTCCAAGGTCAAGAGGAACAGATGGAACCATCCAGCAAGGGAGAAAGATAAAAGCCAGAATACTCACCAAGCCAGCTTATTTCACCATCTTCCGCCTGCTTTGTTCTAGCCACACTGGCAGCCAACTGGATGGTGCCCATCCACATTGAGGGTGGGTCTTTCTCTCCTAGTGTGCTAACTCAAATGCTAATCTCCTCTGGCAACACCCTCACAGAGACCCAAAAACAATACTTTAATCAGCTACCTAGGCATCTTTCAATCCAATCAAGTTGACACCTAATAATAACCATCACACTACTCTACTCAAGTATCTTTTTTTTTCCAAGACATTATTTTCCTCCACCTCTCTGTTGTTGTTGTTGTTGTTTTGAGACAGGGCCTCCCTCTGTCTCTCAGGCTGGAGTGCACTGGCATGATCATAGCTCACCATGGCCTCAATTTCCTTGGCTCAAGTGACCCTCCTGCCTCAACCTTCCCCAAATATCTGGGACTGCAAGTGCCTGCCACCATGCCTGCCCAGCTTATAGTAAAAAAAAAAAAAAAAAGAAAGAAAGAAAGAAAGAAAAAAGTAAAGATGGGGTCTCACTATGTTACCAGGGCTCCTCTTCTTATAGATGGGGACAATGAAGCCTATAAATGTCAGATGACATAGCCTGATCAGACCAGGCAGAGCGGAGCCAGGAAGAGTGCCTGATACACCAACTTCGAATTCAGTGCTCCTGCCTCTGTCTTCTCCCAGGGCCAAGGCTTTTTCAGGCTAATGGACATGGGGTGGTCGACATGGGAGAAGGACAGAGAGAAGCCTGGGGAGGATGCTGAGAAGTAATAAAAGGGAGGAGAGAACCTTTGCAAGAAAACTGTCCCTAGCTTAGAGAAGTAAAAACAGAGTGGGTTGGGCAGGTGTTGGATGTGATGGAGTGGAGGTGAGACCAGAAACCCAGGAAGAAGGAACCACAGCTCTGGTCAAACCAGCACTGAGAGAATGAGACAGGAAGAGCGTGGTGTTGCCACCACAGCAGGGCTTTGTGAAGCCAGTGAATTTCCTGCTTCACAAGAGTTCAGCAGAGTTTTGTCTTCCTGGACAGAGAGAGGTGCAGTAGGAGGTCACAGAGGGTGAGGAAGGTCAGAAGGCAAGTCCCAGGTCTGCCCTGAGCTAGCGCAGGACTGGAGTGGGGAGGCATTTCCCCCTTGAGCCACAACCTTACCTTTTGTGCAATGGGGAGATGATAAGAACCCTGTCCTGCCCACAACATCCAGCTGGTGATCTGGTCTATAAATGAAGATCCTGTGCCAACCACCTAGAGGCACTTACCATAGTTCCCATTTTACAGGTGAGGAAATTGGGCCTGGTAAGTTGTCACGCCTCAGATCATGCAACTGGCAAGGCC
Source organism: Homo sapiens (assembly GCF_000001405.40). NCBI lineage: Eukaryota > Metazoa > Chordata > Mammalia > Primates > Hominidae > Homo > Homo sapiens. The sequence goes on from NC_000009.12 coordinate 30,078,744, forward strand.
CAGGTGACTCAACCTCAGTTTTCAGTGACCACGTAGGCTGCCTCTCAATGTTGGTTCTTGGGAGGCTGCTTAATAGGGTCCCCTTCCAGGGAAGTAGCAATGCTGGGAGATAACCTCTGAGGCTTCATACAACTTTGAGAGCCCATGAATGTATTAAAATGAGGAGCAGGGAGACATGAAGGTTAAGTCCAAGTTCCTTGCCCAACCACCAAGACCCTTAGCACTTGGCCTCCCCAGCCTCCCCTCAACATGCTCCTGCTCTGGAGCTCTGGTGCCACACTTCAGGGCACTTCCAAGCTCTGTGACCTTGGGCAAGTGGGCCTCAGCTTCCTCTTCTGTACAATGAGAACAATAAAGTCCTCACTTTATAGGGCTACTGTGAGGATCAGAGAAAGTGCTTGGCAGATGGTGGCTGCTGTTGTCGCTAGGACTTCCAATTAATTACCGGGCTCAGGTTGCTGTCACTTGCCCTTACCTCCTCTGAGATGTCTTGCCCAGAGTCCCTATTTCTTGAAGCTGGGATCCTGGAGCCCTTGGGCTCACTCCCTCAGCCCTCAACACAGACTGTTGTTTTCTGCTTGTTTGTTTGCCTTCAAACACCCTGGGCACCAGTTGAACTCAGGAATGTCTAGCCCTGAGCCTAGCCGAGAGTGAGTGTTCTAGAAGCATGGCTAGATTCCGTCATCCAGCAATGTTTGAGAATCCATGCTCTGCTAGGCCTTGCCCATCATGGTGATGTCCACGCTCAGAGTCCTGCTACCCTCAGGCTTGGACTTGAGTGAAGGAGATAGGGTGGCACACAGTGATAATGGCATGTGGTAAGTGCCACTGTGGGGGCTGTGGGGCCGAGAGGAGGACCAGACCCTACCATGCCCAGTGGAGGAGTGGTGGTCCCTTACTTCTGTAGTGCCTGCAGCATCCCAGCAGCTAGCAATGTGCCATTCTCCATTTGCCTGCCCCTTCCCATCATGATAAAAGATGGTTGCAACAGTAAATGAAACCCCTATTACCAGAAACTTGCAAGCCAGGCCCTGCTCTGGGAACTTTAGTGCATTTACTCTGCCCCTCAGAGGAGCCAATGTGGGAAAAGAGGTCTTGAGGGGCTGGTCATTGCTGGCACACTCAACCATCTTGTGGTTGTGTAGGATTTGAACTCGGGCCTGCTGGAACTCACCTTCAGCTCACTCTGCCCCATGCCATTGAGCTTCAAAACTCTCTGTCCACACCTCCTCCTGTGCAGCTGATTGTCCCAATGTGCTCAAGTATCTTAGTCTAAATCAAGATATTCAATAGGAGGAAAATTCATATACTTCATTTCAAACACCTACTTTTGAAATGAGTAAAGTGTTACTGAGTTAAAAAAAACTGTAAAATGTTTACAAAATATTTTGTAATACACTATATATGCACACATATTCATATTATATAGATATACAGATATATGTGTGTATACACAATGCAATGCAATGGAATATAATATAATGGTAAGAGGTAATATATTTTTAAAATATTTTATTCTTACTCTCTTACTCAACATACTATTTTCTGCTCTGCATTATTATTCTTCTCTTGTAATTTTATACATTTTTCTTTTCTCTTTAGTTTACCTTTGCTACCCTCTCACATTTTTTTCTTTGCTTTATTATTTTTTGAATTTTCTGAACTTAAACGTTACCTCAACTTTAAATTTTCCAGTGTTTCAAGAAATAGGCTGGGCTTGGTGGTTCATGCCTGTAATCCCAACATTTTGGGAGGCTGAGGTAGGAGGACTGCTTAAAGCCAGGAATTTGAGACAAGCCTGGGCAACAAAGCAAGTGAGACCCTATTTCTACAAAAATTTGAAAGAAAAAATTAAAAAAATACTAGGAGAGTGGTGCACATACTTGTAGTCCCAGCTACTTAGGAGGCTGATGCTGGAGGATCACTTGAGCCCTGGAGTTTGAGGCTGCAGTGAGCTTTGATCTGGCCACTGCACTCCAGTCTGGGTACCAGAGTGAGACTCTCTTTCAAAAAAAAAAAAAGAAAAAAAAGGAAATTAAATTCTAACAGTGTAAGAAAATATTATTTTGGGGAAAGGCATTGTGGCTTACATCATGATCCACCAAGTGGCTCACAAAATACCAGCACTTTGGGAGTCCAAAGTGGGAGGATCACTTGAGGTCAGGACTTGAAGACCAGCCTGGGCTTAAAGTCCACCATGAGAGTCTCACATGGTGAGACTCTCTCTCTTAAAAAAAAATTATCTGGGCATGATGGCCTGTGCCTGTAGTCTCAGCTACTGAGGAGGGTAAAGTAGAAGGCTTACTTGAGCCCAGGAGTTTGAGGCTGCAATGAGCAATGGCGGAGGCACTGCACTCCAACCAGGGTGACAAAGACCCTGTCAAAAAAAAAATATATATATATATATATATGTGTATATATACATACATATATATGTATGTGTGTGTGTATGTGTATGTGTGTATATATATATATATATATATATATATATATATATATATATATATATATAAAATACCTGGCTATCATATCATGATCTGGTGGCATATATCATGGATAAATCATGGGTAGTAGACAAATGTACATATATATTTTATTTACATGAAATGTATATGTATATACATATATATGTAATTTGAAGATGTGTGGGATTAAGACTAAGGATAAGAAAGAATAGGACCATCATATAATCATACATATAATTTCACTAGGCAGAAAGAAGAGAAACAGGATAGCTGAGCAAACTGGTAGAATGGCCAACGAAACTGAGAGCACAAATATCCAGTATTATTTTAAAATCACTTACAGTGTTGTAATATAACCAGAAATTCATCTCCGAATCGCTTTTAAATAAATCATGCTATTTATGCAAAAGATGCATGTGTATTTTGAAAGATTTTGTTGGCTTGTATTATAAATCAAGAAAATGGGTTGTTTCCCTTGTTATGTTTTCCCAGAGATAAAGGAATATTCTGAAAAACAGATCAGGGAAAAAACATCTGCTAGAGGCAGATACAAGCCTGAAGAATTTGAAGAAATCTTCTGTAGAAAATAAATGGACCTTCTACTGGGGTTTTTCTCCATCTTACCTGAATATTAGTATCAGGGAGACATAAACATTGGGTCTGTTTAATATTTCTTACATCTGTTTTAGATTTTTCCCAATATGATACATTCTAATATATGTATGTATCATAATATGATAAACTTAATACTGTGACAGATCAAGGCAACTATTCTTTGTTTCTCCACAGGTATTAATTTGTGCTTTTCCAGGAAACATTCCGAATTTGAAGACTTCAAACTGATCTTAAGGGGCTTGTTTAAGTGCAAATAAATCTGTGTATTGTGATGACATTAATCCTTTCATTACCATAAAATTCTATTTTAAAGTATATTATTTATTCCTCAATATTAAAGCCTTGTGAATTTATTTGTAACTTTTTTTTAATTTTAAGTACACCTACCTTCTATTGCAAACTATGCACTTCAACCTCCGTATGATTTTCTAGTATAGTGAAAAATTACCACATTATCATAGATAGAAGAGCATGAAATTACTATGTCCAGGAGTACAAAATTACTAAACCTTATTTTAAAATATGATAAATCTAATAAAAACTTTGAAACCTAAAGTCATATACATTTTGAAGTAGCAGATATTATTTATTGAAAACAATAAAATGATAAAGCATTTATTTTACTGACTACCTCATATGAAATAGAATAAGAGTCAGCATTCTGTTACAGAGTAAGAAAAAGTAGTTCTTTTACTGTATTGTGAAATAGAAAACAGTAAAACAAATATTTTGTTCTTGTTTCTCCTGGAAACTCTCTGAGTGGGAGGTTTGTGAATTAGAAGATGTTCAGCAGTCCTTAACCTAAACACCTTGAATTGTACTTTTCTCATTCAGAAATATAATACTGAAATTGAACGAACATGAGCTCAAATAAAATGGAGTATTTTATATAAATGACCACCAGTAACAGTATAACATGGTCATTTGTTAACATTGTAGATTTTATCTCAATTACAAAAATAGTCTTCCAAATTTGGACAAAGTGAAAGCCCCCTGTAAATACGTTTATGGTTGGAAAAATTAAAGAATCGGCATTCTGTAATAAATTCTTTATAAAATCTAGAGTTTAGATTTTTTTTAAAGGCTTGGCCTAGAATCCTTTGATATCTGAAAGCACAATTTTAAATCAGAGACAGCACAACTCAATGGGTGAAGGCAGAATAGGAAGCTGCTTATTAAGAAAAAAAAAACACTTTATGTCATTAGTCCCTCCTTCTACCTAATATAAATGTATTTGATTTTGTGTAACTTTTATAATTAGTAGGAAAATACTTGGGAGGTTTTTGCAATTTTAGAGATAATAAAATATATGTGAAAACCTCACTCTGAGTGAGATTTAGCTGGAGACATAGTTTGCTCTCATAATGTGAGATTGTAAATTGATCCAAACTCCGAACCATTCAAGCAAAACATATACCTGCCTGTGATGTAGCAGTCATGCTCCTAAATATATACCTAAGAGAAAGGTAAGAGTATTCATAGCAATTCCATTGGTAATTGCCAAAATCTGGAAATAATCAAACTTCAGTCAACACAAGAATGGAAAAACAGATTGTAGTATATTCACACAATAGAATATTACTCAGCAACAAAAAAGAAAAAGCACAGATTCACATGACATAGAAGATGTTACATTTATAATGATAAATAAAGGAATATAGCTATAAAAGGGTATATGATGTCTAATTCCATTTATATGAAGTTTAAAAAAGGCAAAAGTAATTGATGATAATAGGAGACAGATTAGTGCATACTTCTAAGTGGAATAAAGGTGCACAAGACAGCCTTCTGCAGTTGTTGAGATTATTCTATTTCCTGACCTACAAGGTGTGTACACATATATGCCACATATATACACACAAACACATACACACACAAACAAAATAAACACATGTATATATGTGGCAGGAAGTGGCAGAATGGCATCAAAACAATTTATAATATTAAGAAATGCTCGACAATGTCATTTTTAAAATCCAGATTCTTTAATGTTTCTAGTCAAATAATTTTTATTAATGCTTTATCCTAAATTTAAAATTAAAATTGCAACTTTATTTGAAATTGTAAGTACAGTAACATTTTACCTTGCATTAGTAGCTTGTTAAAGAAACAAGCTATTTGGAAAGATTTGCCCTACTGAGTTATATTTGAGAGATGTTTAGCAAGTGAAGATTTTTTTGACAGATGTATCAGCTCAGGGTGGTTTGCTATTAAAAATAAATTTTGATAGTTTATAGTTATAAAATTTCAAATAATTGAATTCCATAAAATTAAAAGATTTTATCTCTATATTCATTGAATTCATTCCACAGCACCTTAACACATATTCGTTTTTCCTTATATTACCCTCATACTGTTGATAAACATTCTACTTCATTTTTGTCAATCTGTAAGCTAGTATATTTTTTACATTGTCTAAACACATATTTTTATCTCCCTGTGGTTTATGTATCAAGTGTTTTACAAAGAAAAGTATGTTCTGTTTATAAACACATCATGGAAAAACAAGTTAAGTGGAGAGAACTTGAAGTTCAGTATACTTGAATAGAAAAGACTGCATATGATCTTGATTTTTGAACCATTGCAATGTTGGGTAAATGCCCTTGGATAGCTCTCAGGAGTATGTTGTCAGAATATACACTAATTGTGGGAGCGTCATTGAAAATTGCTGTCTTAGTCAGTTTGGCCTTCCCTTACAAAATACCACAGACTGTGTGCCTTAAACAGCAGAAATTTCTTTTTTCACAATTTGGGAGACTAGAAGTCTGCAATCAAAGTGTCAGCATGGTTGGTTTTTGGTGAGGGCCCTCTTGCTGGCTTGCTGATGGCCCTCTTCTCACTTTTTCCTCACATAGTACAAGGAGTGAGAGAGACTGCAAGCTCTCTGGTGTTTCTTCTTATGAAAGCATTAAGCTCATCATGAAATTTTCATTCATATTCTCATCTTAACTGGTACAATTGCACCATGGTGCACAACTATTGATAAACTGTGATGGGTTTATTAATAGATCAACGATACTACAAATATCAATATAGTTCCTGCTATACACATAATTATGTGCAAAGTCCTGAGTAGTGTTTACATTTAAAATCATTCTAATTTTAAAGTAACCTCTATTTTCCATTATTATAAATGCTAGGGCTTTCAGAAAATATGCTGATATATTTATAAATTTACACATAAAACACAAACACAGAATAAAAATGGAAAGAAAATTCCTTAAAATGTCATTATTTTAACTTGTTTATCTAGAGTTCAGCTTTGTAATTGGAAGTTAGTCACACAATATTAAAATTTCCTTTGTAAATTGAACATAGGAAGTTCTGTTTTGTTTTGTTCAAAGCTAGCACAAATGCCTACCCATAGTTATACTGAAGAATTTTTAGGAAAATCTGGCTACTACAACCATTAATAAGATAATCAGAAGTTAAAAATATCACTGAGGAATTGGTACATGGTGAGGTAACTAAGCTTCATTTGATTTCCATAAAAATCAGTGTTAAAGAGGAAAATAGCTTCCTAAGATATTAAAATCCAAAGTGAAGTCAGAAAATGGCAGAATAAGAATATTCTATATGCCAGATTGGTCTTCAAATAACCTTTAGATATCTATGTTTTAAGATTTTTTTCCTGCTCTTTTCCAGTTAAGACTTAACCCTATTGCAGAGTAAGCAAAACAGTATGTGTTTCATTCATGAGCTTTCTAGATCATCTTCAAAAATTAGAGTCTAAGGAGTAATCATTGCAAAGTAAGTTTTATAATAAATCCTTTAATTTTTTTTTACATTTACCTAATATTTAAGTATGGAACTATCTCCAATGCAATTAAAAGTAAACATTTATCCAAAAGAACTACAATTTGTATTTAATATTGTGTCATAACATCTTTGGGGTAATAGCAGCAGTCTCCCAAATTCACACATAGACATATTCACCTTTACTCTTTTGCACATATTGTTACTTCTGTCTGGAACATTCTTACAGCTTTTTCTGCCCAATAACTTCTACTGCTTAAGTTTCTTCAAGAGTGAATTATCCCTTTGAATAATTTTGAATGTGTCTTAGGATAACTGTTTACATAGATAAAAAGATGAATGCCTTTGCCTCAGTATTACTCTGTGAAGCACTTCATGCAACATTTTACCTAAGAACACAGTTTTGTGCTAATTTTTTCCTTTTTCTATTCTACTCTAATTGCTTACTAAGTCAAAAGCATCTGAATTTCTGTCTCAGGCTCCTTTACTAGAGAATCCGACCCTTATAGTTCTAACATTTTTAAAAACAGTAATTCAGCAACTTTTCTTATTCTAGCCTTTGGCCACCTACCCTTAGATGTCAGGACCTTCAGCTGCCAAGTCCTTTTTGTTTTGAGATTTCTGTGATACAGATTAAGGTGGTTCTTTGTTTTCCCCTCTGCAAATTAAATATTTGTATTTTATGGATCTTCTTAGTCAATCTTCTTTCTAGCTTCCACAATGCTACTGTTGTCCATTTTCTCATTTCACTGTTATTTTTTGGGGGGGATAATGCCTTTAAAGATAACCCGCTGTTTTAGTATTAGTTTCAAAAGAAGAAAAAAGTGGATGTGTGTGTTTAGTTTGATATGTTTACTCAATTACTTTTTAAATATAAAAAGAATGTATTTAATTTTTCTGTGTATCTATAATGTGATATAAATTTAAGGTTAATTAGAGAAGGGAATATTGCCACATGAAATTCATGAAATTTGCAGTTAACTCCAAGTCTTTTATTAATTGTTATAGGGCTGAAATATTTGTTTTTGCCCTGGAATTGGAATAAACATTAAAGTTACTATAAAATTTATATTAACAGGTTTACTTCCTCACACTCATGTATTCTGGCATTTACAGCTACTATTCAGAAGTTTTCTAGCAACCAAATTGTCATTGTTTGTAAGTTCTGTGTATGTGTGTGTGTACATACATATAGTTTAAGATTTTTATTATTTTGTCTCATTGTGGCAGGTAGAATGGTCCCTCATATTCCCAGCATTTGGTATATACACACCTTCTACCAGTTACTCAGTTAAACACAAATCTAGGTATTGATGTTAAGGGATATTACAAATATAATTAAGGTCACAAAGCCACTGACCTTAAAATACAGAAATTAACTGGGTGTGCCTCAGCTAATTATGAAAGCCCTTTAAATAAGCATCTGCAAATCAGAAATAGAGAAGTCAAGAAATTTAAAGCACAGAAAGGATCTCATGCACCATTGCTGAATGGAAGATGGAGAGGGACATATGACAAGGAGTGTGAATAACCTTTGGAAGTATATTAGTCAGGGTTCCCTAGAGGGTCAGAACTAATCGGGTAGATGTATATATGAAGATGAGTTTATTAAGGAGTATTGACTCACACAATCACAAAGTCCCACAATAGGCCATCTGCAAGCTGAGGAGCAAGGAAACCAGTCCAAGTCCCAAAACACCATACTAGGGAAGCTGACAGTACAGCCTTCAGTCTGTGGCCAAAGGCCTGAGAGCCCCTGGCAAACCACTGGTGTAAGTCCAAGAGTCCAAAAGCCGAAGAACTTGGAGTCTGATGTTCGAGAGCAGGAAGCATCCAGCCTGGGAGAAAAATGGAGGCTGGAGGAGTCAGCAAGTTTTCTCTTTCCACTTTCTTCTGCCTGCTCTATTTTAGCTGCAATGGCAACTGATTAGATGGTGCCTACCCAGATTGAGGGTGGGTCTTCCTCTCCCACTCCACTGACTCAAATGCCAAATCTCCTTTGGCAACACCCTCACAGACACACCCAGGAACAAAACTTTGCATCCATTAATTCAATCAAATTGACACTCAGTATTAACCATCACAAATCCACCCCTTGTCAACTTGAACCCAACACATCTCCTGAAATCATACAAAATCTTCAAATAAAGACAATAACAAGATCATAATTATGCCTAACATAATACAGCTATCTTTCATACAACCAGAAGTGCACCAATCCTTAACCTAAATGCTATTACATAACGTTAACACTTAAATGCTGATATGATGTCAGTAAACCTATGTCACATGATAAAGGAAAAAGAAAGAAAATAAAATGAAGATATTTTCTAATAAAAGTGTATACATGCACAAACATGTTTTTAACAAAATAGGGAAGATATACACAAGACAATTACAGTCGTCCTTTCTGCAACTGGTCACACGGTCGTAGCTGGTATTGACACTGCCTTCTTTGACTATCCATTCTGTATTCCCTTTGCCTTCTGCAAGCTCCTAAGCAGGTCATGAATTTTTACCTGGTGGAGTGACCCAAACCTTCATTCCTGAAGGATCTGGGCCAGTTGTAGTCTAGCCTGGATTGGGTTGTTGTAGTTTCCCATTGACCTTAAGCACAGGGGATGTTAATACTAAGAGATGTCCTAAGGGATCTTCTGTACTTCACACATACTCTTCCTTACCTCCATTGTGAATAGTAAACTGATTTCATCTTGATAGTCTGGGTCAGTTACCCAGCCAACACTGTAACTCCCTTCTTAGTCTGTTGATTTGAGGTAGGAGAAGCCCAAAGTGTCCAGGTGGCAACCTTAACTTCCAGTTTAATGGAATCGTTGTTGTGTCTCCTGGTGTCAGCGTTCCTCCCTCTGGAAATGAGATCTCTAGGCCAGCAGAATGTAATGTCGGAGGAACACGAAGCAAAAATTTTGCTAGTGGATCACTAGGGGTGATGGTGAGTGGTGCCATGTCCACTTCCACCTTTTGATTCTGGGACCTGTGAATCCTGGTGATGGGAGAAACAGTACCATACATTGAATGCTGATTCACGGCATACACAGCCTTCTGAAGAACTTTGCCCCAGCCCTGCATAGTATTGTCACCTAGTTGGCATTGTAATTGTGACTTCAAAAGTCCATTCCACCGTTCTATCAATCCAGCTGCCTCAGGATGATGGGGAACATGACAAGACCAGTGAATTCCATCAGGATGAGCCCACTGTCACACTTCTTTAGCCATAAAGTGAGTGCCTTGGTCATAGGCAAGTCTATGTGGAATACCATGATGGTGAATAAGGTATTTCAGGAGTCCACAGATGATAGTCTTGGCAGAAGCATTGTGTGCAGGATAGGCAAACCCATATCCACAGTAAGTGTCTATTCCAGTGAGGATGAACCACTGCCCTTTTCCTGATGGAAGAGGTCCAATGTAATCAACCTGCCACCAAGTAGCTGGCTGATCACCCCGAGGAATGGTGCCCTATCGAGGGCTCAGTGTTGGTCTCTGCTGCTGGCAAACTGAGTACTCAGTAGTGCCTGTAGCTAGGTCAGTCCTGATGAGTGAAAATCGTGGCTGAACCCATGTATAATCCCCATCCCTTCCACCATAGCTACTTTGTTCATGGGCCCATTGGGCAATAATGAGGTGGCTAGAGAAAGAGGCTAATTAGTGCCCACACAATGCATCAACCTATCCACTTGATTATTAAAATCATCCTCTGCTGAGGTCACTGAGCATTCACATGGGATACAAATATCTTCACAGTTTTTGACCACTCAGAGAGGTCCGTCCACATACCTCTTCCCCAGATTTCTTTGTCACCAATTTTCCAATGATGCTTCTTCCAAGTCCATGACCATCCAACCAAACCATTGCCTACAGCCCATGAATAGGTATATAATCACACATCTTGTCATTTCTTCTTCTAAGCAAAGTTTGGCAGGAGTGGAGACCACGGGCATTTTTAAGCCACTTCCTCATGTAACTTAATTGTACCTTCAGGACCTGCTGAAGCCCGATCACATATATACCACTTTCATTTGATAATGGAATGCTGTTGTGCATGCCCAACTTTATGGCTAGATGAGTCAGAAAACACCCAGTTTATGATAGGCAGTTCAGGTCGCATGGTGACTTGATGACCCACAGTCAAACATTCAGTTTCTACCAAAGCCCAGTAACAGGGCAAGAGCCGTCTCTCAAAAAGGAGAATAGTTATCTGCAGAAGATGGCAGACGATGGCCTTGCTCCAAAACCTAGGGGCCCCCACTGTGATTCACCTATAAGAGCCTGCTTAAGACTCCAAACAACATCCCTATCAGCCGCTGATGCCTCAAGCACAATTGGATCTGCTGGATCATATGGCCCAAGTGGCAGAGGAGCTTGCACAGCAGCCTGGACCTGTTGCAGAGCTTTCTCCTGTTCTGGATCCCATTCAGAACTGGCAGCCTTTCAGGTCACTCAATAAATGGGGCCAAATAACACAGGCGGCTATGCACGGCTCCTGGCTGATAGCAAGGAAACAGCAATCTTAACCCTACAACCTAGTAACTTAATTCTGCCAATAATAGGAAAGATTTTGGAAGCAGATTTTTCCCCGGAGCCTCCAGATGAGAACTGCACCTGACCCAACACCTTGATTTCAGGCTTGTGATGTCCTGAGAAGAGAACCCACGCACACTGCTGGACTTCTGACCTAGAGAAATTCACACTTCTCTAGATTATTGATAAATGCTTGTTTATTTAAGCTGCTAAGTTTATGATAATTTTTTACAAGACAATAAAAAACTAATACACTGATATCCTGCAGTTTTTCTATACTGCTTTTATTATAATTTCATTTGTATTTATCTTTCTCATTACTGCTTGCAGACGTTCAATATGAAGGCCTATGTGCCTCTTCCATTAAAGAAACTTATTATCTAGAATCTTCTAAATATTGCTTGTCTATTTATTCCTTCATCTTCTAATCTATTTTTCATTTACTCCTAGTGAATACAAATTTCTTTTAAATGTTCCTTTATATATCTATCTCTTTATATTTTTGTCCTGGGATCTGGATCTATTTTATAGTATTCTCTTTCCACATGAGTCCAAAGTGAGCATTTCTCTTTAGTTTCTTCTTTTTTTTTTTTCTCCTTTAACATGTTCCTTTTCTATATCTGAGCACTCTGTTTATACCTTATTTTTTGCTTTGTTGATGTCATTCATTTCTTTATAACTGAGATTTTTTTTTTTTTTAATTGAGACAGAGTCTGGCTCTGTCGCCCAGACTGGAGTGCAGCGGCGCCATCTCGGCTCACTGCAAGCTCTGCCTCCCAGGTTAAAGCCATTCTCCTGCCTCAGCCTCCAGAGTAGCTGGGACTACAGGCGCCCACCCCCACGTCTGTCTAATTTTTTTGTATTTTTAGTAGAGACGGGGTTTCACCGTGTTAGCCAGGATGGTCTCGATCTCCTGACCTCGTGATCCACCCGCCTCGGCCTCCGAAAGTGCTGAGATTACAGGCGTGAGCCACCACGCCTGGCCCATCACTGAGAATTTTTTAAAATTCTTATCTTAAACCCCTCTTCAAGATAGCCCATTTATTTTTATTTTCTCAGGAGTGAATTATTCCATTGGTTGATTTAGTTTTGTATCTGTTTTGATGTTGTGTTTTCTTGGTTATTTAGAAATGTTAATATGTAGGATCAGTTTATCTTAAATGGCCGTTTAAGTTTTTTTTTTTCTTCTCTACTGCTTCCTTTGTATGTATAAGACTTTTATATTTGCATTTCATGCCAGAAGGAGGACATATATTAGGAATTTAACATTCTAATTCTGAAGAAAGAGGATAGATCTGTTTCCTAAGATGCTGTATGGCTTGGTCCTGGTCTTGGTGGCTACAGAGCAAATAAAAAGGCTGCAGCCTCAGGCAACATCACAGAAATTTACAGTTTCCATTCACAGTGGTTCCATGCTCTGAAAATGACTCCAGTGCTCCACCAAAAAAATACATTTTTTACTATACCCTGAAAGATCTGAATTTTTTTTTTTAAATTACCTCTGCCTATTTGTATTACTGGAGTTCAAAGGACTGAGACATCAGGCCTCCATGTTTCCAAATTATTTTTGTTCTAATTCTAGTCAAAGGAGTTGTTTGCCCTTTTATGGTGGAATTAGTTCTGAAACCAGCCCAACTGTCCCACAGAACTGATGTTTATGATTTCTTTTAAATAAACATAGAAATTGACCCTCACAGTTGTAAAACATAAGAAAATTACATTTGTTTTATTTGACGTCCTTTCTCAGGAAACCAAGGATTAGGCCTCTGAGATAGTATCAAGGAACTGAAGCTTATCAGATCACAGCTCTAGGATATTGGGACCCCAGAACCCTCACCCATCATGATTGCCTAACCAACCACCAGCTTCCTATTGGCCAACTCTCTTCCTTACCTCTCCCAATTTTCTATTTTTCCACACACGGTTACATTTCTTCCCAACTATATAAACCTCCAACTTTAGTCCATCAGGAAAATGGGTCTGAGACTCATCTTCCATTCTCCTTGGCTGCAGCATCCGAATGAAACCTTCTTCTCCGGCAAGACTTATTGCCTCAGAGATTGGCTTTCTGTGCAGTGAGCAGTAGGATTTACACCGAATCCCTGGCTTTTTGGTAACAGTTACCCATTTTAATATATTTTAAAATCATTTTTGTTGTAGCTTATGTTTGAAATGGGTTTCATATGAACAGATAGTACAATATTTTGGCTAAGAGTCTCTAGTATTACGTCTAGTATAATGTCTTTTTGACTCAAATAATCTCTATATATAATAGAAGAATTGGAAAATTGACAGATTGAAAGAAAGTCTCATTATTTTTTAACAAAGTAATAGACGTTAATTCTCACCATAATGAGTTAGACGTATCCAGTCCATTACAGATTTCCTACTTTGCCTTCTTCCTCTGCATATGTAAGAAAACATGACTCTGGACTGCTACCATTTGGGGGAAAAGTATGATAGAATCTTGGTTTCTCCAGGAAGGAATGATGTTTCAGCAACACAATGATTATTATAATCACTATAATAATAGATTGTGATGATAACTATAATGCTATTTATTCTATGGTTATCATGTACCAAGAATTAACTATTTCATCTTAATAACTAACCTGTGGAACAGGAATTATTCTGCCCACCTCATGCAAGAGCAGTTGAGAAGAGTTTAAGCAGTTTGCAAAAGTTAACAAAGCAAGAATTTAAATCATGTCTGTTTGACTAAAAGAAAAGCTGTGATACTCCTGTTAGTTATTCCACAGTACACCTGCCATATCAAGTTTAAATGTCTTTTCCCTTTTTATTCAGCAGACATTTTATAGACTGAACCAAACCCAACTTCATCTTAAATAGAATAACTACCAACTGCTTTGATGTGATGTTGGAAATTGCATGTGTACTTTGTTCTTTTCTCTTGAATAACATTTTGGAGATTTTCATAGTTTTATATATTAAAATAATTCTGTGTATTAGTAATCAGCTGATGTCTTAGTATACTTAACTGACATAATGCCATTCCTTGAATCACAAGAAAAGACAATACTTCATAGAACATTGGAAAATCCTAGAAATTAATAATTTCTTATTTTATGCTAGGTCCTCTGCCAACCACTTACAGATATTATGTCATTTACTCTTCAGCAACCTCTCAATTAGAGAAAAACTGTGTTTATCACAAGACAGGCGAGGAAGCTGGGGTTGGCTTATGTGTAAAGCACCCAGGTCATACAATTTTATATATTTAGATTATATAATTAGTAAAAGTCACAATTAATAATTGGCTCAATGACTCCCAAGTCCATGATTTTATCACTAAAGTATTTAGTGCAATATTTAGGCAATTCTGAGCAAGAGACATTTACAATTTTTAATTTAAAGTATTCTACATGAAAGATGACATTTGTTCTGGCATCAATAATAAGAAATCCTAGATACATTTTGAAAAATAAAAATGTTTACCCTCACTTCTCTACTTACCCAAATAAAGAATAATTACCAGAAATAATTGATTATAGGACCTGACTGTATCATATAATCAATGTATTAAATTCTTGTGAAATTTTGCTTTGAGTGTTGTGACCATGACTGATACAGTCATCTTCTTGTTTATCATTTAAATGTTAACACAACTGATATAACTTAGTAGGTATGTAGAAGCAATAAGGCTATTTTTTTAGTGATTATGATTCTCGAGGGTCTAAGACTATGAGGCATTTGTGTGCCTGAGATTAGAAAATTTCATATCAATGCCATTTTACATTATCTAATATTTGAGGATACATGTTAACTGTTTATGAAAATATAGTTCATGTTAATTATAGAATTTTGTGAAACTAGATTTCATCCCTTTCTGAAGTTTATGGAAATTAGGTGATCTTAAAATATCCTTCTAGCCCCAACAGAACTATGCCACAATATGTCTTCTTCACTTACTCTACTTCTCAACAATATGTCTTCTCTTCTTACTGAAAGGGTTGTTATAGACATTTCAATAGTTTTATTCCTTATAGCTCAATCCATTTTCCTGTCTGTAAATACATGGAACTTTAACACACCACAGTTAACTGTAACAAATTTCATTACATATTGTTTCATTCACAGATGGTTAATGGCTTCCAAACCAGGAGATTTATTAATAATTTAGTATTCTACTGAAATAATTGATCCTTGTTGCACAGTTCAACAGCTTACCTTTGGAAGATCTCTGTTCTTAATCAATATCAAATAACGGCCTGTGTATAATGGGAGATGTTGAAACAGATAGGATCAGGTGTTTTAGTTTTCTAGGGTTGCCTTAACAAAGTAACACGGACTGGATGACTTAAATATTACAAATTTATTTTCTCATAGTCCTGCCGGCTAGAAGTTCCAGATCAAGGTGTTAGGAAGGTGAGTTTCTTCTGAGAACTCTCTTTCTAGCTTGTAGATGACTGTCTTCTCCATGTCTTCACATGGTCTTTCTTTTGTTTATGTCTATGACATAATACCAAAAAATAAAAACACAATAAAATCTCTTTTTGACTCTGCTTGCTAACTCATTCTCTTTTATTTATATTTTTGTGCTATGGCTTCTAGAAACCCAAATCCATTGTATATGAGCTTTTTTACCTCCTTTGTACCTCCACACATGTTTTATGGTCCATTATGCCCCAACAGAACGAGGCTTTCCCATTGAGCTTTTATTTCCCTGTGGCCCATGAGGACCAGCAACACATTCTCTCCCATATTATATATCAGGGTTCATATTTTCTGCTTGGTGTATTTCTACACTGCCAATTCCAGATTATTAAGTCCTAGAAGACTATCATCTTCCTTTTCTGATTCTTCTTATAATTGGCCTCCTGGGCCCTCGCTGATGTCCACTATAAGACTCACCTTTACCCTTTCTGTCCAGGCCCCTTCCTTTATCTTCTGCAACTTCAGTGTTCATGTGGATGACAAATCCACTTTTATGTAAAAATATTCTCATTTATCACTTCTTGAACTAATAATAATAATACTCAATTGAATCTACAACTCCTTTTAGCTATTATCCCTTTGCCCTTTTTTCATTAATAAGGACTCTTACTTGTCTTATTCTTGCCCCAGTCTAGTTTGGGGGGCACTCCTTTGTTGATCTACAATCCAGAGCAAGTTTTAATTGTATATTTCTCTGGACTGTGATTTTCTTAATAATTTACATATTAGTATGTCTGGAACACCTTCCAGCAATAGGAACACATATAATTCCTCCATACTGCCGATCCTTTTGGCAAATGGTATCTGCTTCTGTTTTAAATACCATTCACACAGAACCTTAAATTTTTATTTCCCTAACGTGTTCTCGTGCAGACTCAATGGCTAGCACTTTTCTTGGACCATTTTAAATGTCGATTTTCATTTAGTCAAGATACACTATTGGAAGACCTCGCTGAGAATTCTATATATAAACCAATCCCACAAATTAGAATCTACAAAAACCTTCTATGTTGAGACAAATTTTAGAATTATACAATATTATAATAGCCTAAATATTTGGGTATTCTTTTATAATTTACCATTTTCTTTGACGTTCAACATAATATTTTATCTTACCAACAGACTCGAGAAGAAACTATGTGAGGTATTATTTCCCACTTACTGATAAAGACATTGAGCCTCAAAGAGGTTTCAAAATAAATACTAGAGTTTACATTCTAGACTACCATGCATTCCTAAGCCTCAGAGAGCTCACTAAATTAAATGATATATTGTATAATTACAGATAAAACATTATCTAATAAGCAGTATCACGAGTTCATAAATACTGTATAGAACATGAGCGGATGGAATGTGCTTGGACCTCAAGCTGTCAGCATGCTACATTTCAATGCATGCAATTGTCAGTGGAGAAGTATCAACATACTGACTGGATATACAAAAAAAATTCAAAGCATATGGATGTTATAAAACAGAGTATTATCAAATGCTAATAAATGTTCATTAACATCAATGAAAAGTTTACTGTTGTTTTAAAATTAAGACTCTACAAATATATAGTGAGTATTTCACTTTACTCAAATATTTTGTATTGCATTCAATCTTTAAGTCAAAACTATAAGATATGTGTTGCTATTCGACTGTACAGATGAATAAACTAAACCTTGATAAAGGAAATAACAGCCCTATATCATCTAGATTGCAAATATGAAAATAAAATATGCATATTTTAATTATTTTTCTATATGTCACAAAATGTTAAACAAGCCCATGCTAGCTCCTAGATTCTGCGGGGCCATAGCATAAATGCTATTTAACTTAAAAAGTAGTTCTTTGTATACTTTTTTTTTGACAATACTATTGAATCTGGTGTTCCACTATGCTAAATTAAAACAAACTGAACTTTTCTATGATACATTTAAAGAATACTTAGTGTGATTATTTTTAAAAATAATTTAATTTTCCTTTTTTTTCTGTGAAGTTAAAACTATTAGAATTTAAACTTTCTATATTACAAATGTGCAGTATGTTGGATTTAAGATAGCCAGACCCTTTTCCTTTAATAGGAGGATAAATCTTAGTTTTCTTTTCCTTTTGAAGAGCTGCCTGTGAGAGTCTTTGGATGGTGCTGGACTAAAGAAGGTCAGTTTTCCTTATCAGACTTGTTAAAACCAGCATCTTAAACTGCAGAGAAACAATTTTGGTAAACATGGCATTTTAATGCTGCATTCCTTGTTGGCTCAATAGAGGAAAGATTCACAGATTGAAAACAATCAATAGAAAGCAGCAGGCTAGTCAGCAGCTAATGTTCACTCTCTTTACAAGTCCCGATAAAAGCTTACATCAGCGAAGAAAGTCATGGCAACTGCAAAATCAAAAATAAAATGGCAATCTTCTGCTCTTAAAGTATCTGAAGCCACTTAATGGTCTTGTTAAATCTCTCCAGACTCCACATAATTCTGGATTATTGCTTTCAAGTTTAGGGAACTATTTTCCAGCTTACCAACTCACCCGACATTGACTTATACTGATAGAGCATCTTCTAAACTTGATTCCATTTCATACTATCTTCTGCCACTTTTCAGGAGAATCTGAAATTTTTCTAGTATAAATTGCTAAGGTAAAACATGGCAGAGTGAGTTCAGGTCTGGGAACAAGACTCAGCTCATTTTCAGAAAGAAAATATCTTTACACCTGCTATGAATAAAGGATTTTACTGTGAATATTAACAGAATGTTATATAACTATGGTGTTATGTTTGCAAAAACAATTGCAATGATAATAAATTTCAGTATTTTGTTATTCTCATTTTTAAAATTTTTGTTTGTGATTCAGTGGTTGTAATCTCCATAAAGACTCATTATATCTGTCAATGAAGAAAGTGTAATTTCTCCCTCCAGCCTGCCACACTGAGAGCTGTGTGACTCTGGAAAAGAAGAAGGCAATCAGCATTGCTTATCAGGCATTAACTTCTAGCAGGTACTTACTGTTCTAGAGACTCATAATGCCATCTCTTCTAGTTATGTTGAAATATACAGTACATTTTAAGGTAATTAATATCCTAACAACCCAGATTTGATCATTCCAGATTGTATACTTGTATGAAAATATCACATGTACTCCATAAAAAGGTACAGTTATTATGTATTCATAAAACTTAAAAAATAAAACTATAATAAAATTAAGAGGGAAAAATGCAATCTAGAGCAATTCTTACAACTTCCAGAAGCTCTAGGCATTAATAATATCTCTAATTTACAGATGATGAAAGTCAGGAGATCTAAGAACCTTAGTCAATTTACCCAGTGGTATAAAGAAAAAACACAACTCCTCTGGACATTTGTTTGTTCATCTGAATAAGTTAAACTAGGTTGCTGCTAATAATTTCTTTATTTTAAATCACTATCCTGAGTGGGGTGTGGGTGGAGAGCTTCACTGATATATTTATGAATCTAGATAAATTACTGAATATATGAACATATAATTTGTGTCATCCGTTACATGGGCATTCATTACATGGGCAAAACTTAGTATCTATTAGATATTTGAAAACATATCTAACCCTATGACCTTTGCTTTTCTTGCTCTGTTTAGAGTAAAACTTGCAGGAAATATGAAGTTATCTCTTCTAATTTGAAAGCTGTTTATTATTTTTTGAGATAGCTAAGAGGAAATTTTAATATAGAAAATTTAATTACTGAATGATCCAATTTCTGTCAGATGAAATGATAGTTATAATTATACAATAGAAATATTTTATTTTTTCAAAATATACTTACCAAGTGAAGATAAAGTCAATGTGATAAAGACTCAATAAAACTCATTTCAATCTATAATACAGATATAATCCATGTTATTTCAATGGCTTCCATTTGTTTTTGGATGCATACATGTTATATGCCTATTATCTATCCACGTAGT
Organism: Homo sapiens; assembly: GCF_000001405.40. Taxonomy (NCBI): domain Eukaryota; kingdom Metazoa; phylum Chordata; class Mammalia; order Primates; family Hominidae; genus Homo; species Homo sapiens. The sequence continues at coordinate 30,098,492 of NC_000009.12, forward strand.
TACTGCATGTACAATTTGGTATGCTATTTTGTTGACTTCATATGAAATTATGATAATTTTCTGAAAGAAGATGAATACATAAAAATAAAATATGCACATTTTAATTTTAATTATTCTTCTCTATGCCACAAAATAATGAACAATCCCATGCTAATTCATACAATGACATATTAATGAAAATATAATTTTAAAAAACTACTATTTTATAATATAAAAGCATACTATTTCATTTCACATCCCCAAGTTTACACTATTGTGTTAACTTAATATTTCTGCTACCATAAGTTATTCCTAACACCATTGCAAATAAAATATCCCTATGGAAACTGCTTTGCAAGCAAAGACTGATCAGCCATTCGCTAAAAAATAATCTCTCCCTCAACTGGGAAAAAGCATAGACTCAAAATTTTGTCTCTGATACACGGTAGCTTATAAGAGTGAGTTTATTTCTGTTCTCTTAGTCTATATGTTTGTTATTATGCCAGTACCATACTGTTTTGATTATTGTTGCTTTATAAATATACTTTGAAATCAGAAAATGTGATAACTCCAGCTTTGTTCTTCTTGCTCAGCAGTGCTTTGACCATTCAGTGTCTTTGTGGTTTCATACAAATTTTAGGATTGTTTTTTCAATTCCTTTAAAAAAATGGCAAAATAGAAAATTTAACAATATTATCATTCCAATATTGGAACACAAGATTGCTTTCTATTTATGTGTGTCTCCTTTATTTCTTTCATCAGTTTTTAATAATTTTTAGCATATAAGTCCTTCACATTTGTAGTTATATTTATTCGCTAATATTTTATTGTTTTTGATGCTATTTTAATGGAACTTTCCCATTGAAATTCTTAATTTTTAAAAATTTCCTTCCTGGATTGGTCTAAAAAAGCACATCTGATTTTTGTGTGTTGACTTTTTTATCCTGTAACTTTGCAAAATTTGTTTATTAATTCAGGCATTTTTGATAGAGTTTAAATTTTTTCATAGATAAGTTTATGTACTCTGCAAACTGAGATAATCTAACTTTTTCCTTTCTGATGTGAATGTTTTAAAAATTATTTTTCTGATGTAATTGTCTGGTCTAGGACTTCCAGTAATATGTTGAGTAGAAATGGTGAGAGTGAACTTAAATGGAAGACCTGAAACTTTGGAACTCCTAGAATAAAACACAGGGGACAAGCCTTCTGACATTGGGCTATGGAGATGATTTCTTAGATATGACACCAAAAGTACAGGTAGTAAAAGCAAAAATAGACAAGTGCAATAACATCAAATTAAAAATCCTTCTGCACAAAAAAGAAAACAACAAAATGAAAAGGCAATCTAGAGAATGGGAGAAAATATTTCAAATTATATATTTGATAAAGGGTTAATATCCAAAATATGTAAGTAACTCACACAAATAAAAAAACAAAAGAAATAATAACCTGATTAAAAATGAGCAAAATAACTGAAGAGACATTTCTCAAAAGAAAACATACAATACAGCCAATTGGACATGTGAAAAGGTGCTCAGGCCAGGCACAGTGGCTAACGCCTGTAATCCCAGCACTTTGGGAGGCCGAGGCGGGTGGATCATTTGAGGTCGGGAGTTGGAGACCAGCCTGACCAACATGGCGAAACACCATCTCTACTAAAATCACAGAAATTAGCTGGGCATAGTGGCGGGCACCTGTAATCCCAGCTACTCGGGAGGCTGAGGCATGAGAATCGCTTGAACCCGGGAGGCAGAGGTTGCAGTGAGCCCTCGGCCATTGCACTCCAGCATGGGCAATGGGATGAGACTCTGTCTCAAACAAAAAAAAAAAAAAAAAAGAAAAAAGAAAAGTTGTTCAATATCACTAATTTTAGGGAAATGGAATTCAAAACCATGATGAGATATCGTCTCTCCCCTGTTAATATGAATAATACGAAAAAACAAATTATAACAATTGTTGGTGAGGATAGAGTAAAGGAAATCTTTTTGTGGGAATGTAATTGGTATAGTTACTATGGAAAACAGTATGGAGGTTCCTCAAAACATTAAAAATAGAACTACCACATAATCCAGCAATCCCACTAGTGGGTATGTATCCAAAGAAATTAAAATTGGGATCTTGAATAGATGTTTAAACATCCATATTTACTGCCACATTATTCACAACAGCCCAAACAGGGAAGCTACCAAATGTCCACTGAAGGATAAATGCATAAACGAAATGTGGTATATACATGAAATGCAATATTGTTCAGCTTCAGAAAGAAGGAAATTCTATCATTTGATAATATGGATGAACCTGAAGAACATTATACTAAGTGAACTCAGGCAGACCCAGGAAATACAAATATTACATGATATCACACATATTAGGAATATCAAATAGTCAAATTTCTAAAAGCGGAGAGTGGAATATTTGTTGCCAGAAGCTGGGGGGAGCAGAAAATGAGAGTTATTAGTCAAAGGATACAAAGTTTGAATTATAGAAGATGAATATGTCCTAGGAATCTACTGTACAGTGTCATGCCTGTAGTTAACGCCATAGCAATATAGATGTAAATTAATATAGATATTATAGAATAATAGTATATTGTATACCTGAAATTTTGCTGAGGATGTATTTCATGTTAAGTGTTCTTCTCATAAAGTAAAAATACTAATAAATAGAGTGCGAAGACATTTTTGAGGTAAATATGTTTATGGCATATGTTTTGGTGATGGTTTCATGGGAATATACTTATTTCCAAGTTCATCAAGTTGCATACATTAAATATGTATATCTACAGGACAGTGGCAAACATATTAGATAGGGTTCCTTTATTCACTACACCACTGTTAGAGGTTCTCCTATTGTTAACCTTTTTTGTGAATATGATTCACTTGTCACCATTAAATAAGTAATACATTATTATTAATAAACAATATGTTATTAAATTATTATTAACTTAAAATTTACTGTTGCTCTGCATGCTGACCAGTAATTGATAATGTTAGTTTGTTTAGATGTTAACAATGTGTGGCAGTATCTTTTTTTCACTAAAGTTTTTACCTATTTTCTTATTATTTTTGCATGTCTGGTGTACATTTGTCAATTTCGTTAGTTTGAGCTTTTCAGAGTCACTTTAGTTTAGACATATTCTTCGAATACAGAATATATTGCAGCCATGATTCATGAAACAAACAAAATCTTTTTTTTCTTTTAATAGGCAAGTTAAGCTCATTAATATGACTGACATACCGTTGACCCTTGAACAACACAGACTTGAACTGTATAGGTTCAATTATATGCAGATTTTCTTCTACCTCTGCCACCACTGAAACAGCAACAGCAAGACCAACTCCTCCTTTTCCTCCTCCTAAGCCTACTCAACATAAAGACAATGAGGATGAAGATCTTTATAATGACCCACTTCCACTTGATGAAGAGTAAATATATTTTCTTTCTTATGATATTAAGTTTTTTCTCAAACTTGTTTTATTATGAGTACAGTATAAAATACATACACCATACAAAGCATGTGTTAATTCATAGACACATGTGTACTTGAAGATGGACGGTGGGAGCAGGGAGGGGATTGAAAAACTGTCTGTTGGGTACTATGCTTATTACCTGGCGATGAAATAATCTGTACTCCAAACCCCCATGACATGCAATTTACCTATATAACAAACCTGCACAAGAACCAATTACCCTTGAACCTAAAATGAACTTTACAAAACAAACCAATAAACAAACAACATAACAAAGTGTGTGTTAATGTATTGTTTGTTATCAGAAAGGCTTCCAGTCAAGAGTAACTCTTAGTAGTTGAGTTTTGGGAAGTGGGGGCAAAAGTTACACACAGATTTTTCACTGTATGAGTGGTTGTTGCCTCTACCTCCCATGTTGTTCAAGGATCAACTGTAATTAACTTAGCTCTGTTACTTAATAATATTTTATATTATTTTCATTGGCCATGTTATTGGCTCTATGATGTTGTGTGACTACTGTATTTTTAAAAAATTATTGTATTTAGAAAGGTTTTAATATTTGTTTTAATGCCTATTTATACGTATAAATGTCATTAGACATCTATATTCTTATGTAACTTCTTATCTGCTGGTTTGCCAAGTTTAATTGTGTACTTTACTTCCCATACATTTGCTATCCAATAACGTGCTTTTACAATTGTCTTTTTTACTTTCCCTTCTTCTCCCATTGTTTACATGCATTATTTCTAGTTTTGAATAGCATAACGTTGATACATTGTTCTTCCAATTTTATTCTTTTATTTTTAACCTTAGATCTATCTTGATATATATTTAAATGTTCACATCAGTCCTCTCATTGAAGTTTGTCTAGTCATTTTTGGCTGAATGATGCTTAACCTCTAATAGTTCCTGTGGAAGGGTATATAGAACACTGTATGTTCATGCATGTCCAAAAATGTTCTATAGTATGATAATTAAAGGAGATTTGGGATAAAAAAAGACATCTTAACTCATATTTTAAATCTTTTATTTACGTTTTTTTGAAATATTGATCCATTGTGGTCTTGTTTTACGTGATGATTTGAAATCTCTGATGCCATTCTGATTCTTTTGCCTTAGTAAATTATCCTCATCACCATGCCAACCCCTGAGAAAACTTATCGAGAACACCAAGAAAAAGAAAAATAGGATACTTTTCTTTATAATTGTATTCAAATACTTGTACTAGGCTGTGCTTCAGAGTTGATTGAATTTAATTTGCCTGTCTATCTGATGGGTCCTTTTAAGATGTAGGCTTAGGTTTTCTTTTTTTTTGAAAAGTGTTCTTGGGTACAGTTTTACATTCTAGTGATATCCATTGTTTGTTTTTCTTCTTCAGAGACCCCAGTTATACGAAAATTATTTCTTCTTTGTTCATTTTCCATTATCGAGATGTTCTGTTCTATAATTAATGCTTCATTCTTTATCTCACTTTAAATTTCTACCTGCTTTCTTGCAGATTAAATATTTCTTTTTTATGTTTCTTATTTTTCTCAACTACTCTTTATATCTTCATTTTTTATTGATTTATTTTCTATTTATTAATTCAAATTTCAGGGTAGTTTTCAAATACCCAAAATGCTTAGGGTATAATTTTACAATTTTCTTTTACTTGATGTTTGGGGGAATGGGAAAGACTCTCATTGGTTGATGGGTCTTTAAATGATTTTCTGATTTTTATTGATAACTTTTAAAAGACATATTGAGTTAAAAATTAATATTGTAATTTCTCGGTAGTTTACAATATTTTTAGTTCAAGGACACCCTCTTCTTACATTGTTGCAAAGTCTAAACTCTTGGACTAGATTGTGGGTTATGTTTTGTTTTTTTTCAAGTGGGGAGAGAGGTTATGTGTCAGCATTTTTCCTTTCTTGTTTGTCTTGTAGAACACCTAAAGTGTCCTTTTTGCTTCTCTTCCCCATTAACCATCAAATTGCCAGAGGAGGCCTCCCTTGTCTTTTTTTTTTTTTTTCTCTGCCTCAAACTTCAAATCACATTTACATGGAAGCTCTTTTCATACAGTCCAGGCTCTTACATAGCCATATGCATTTTTAATATTTTTAATCTCGCAGTGGACCTAGTGATTCTGTGATCTGTCATTAGCTCCCCATTTCTGTCTTCCTTGCTTTATTTTTTTAAGTACTTTTGTTCACAATGAATACTTGTGGTTGGGTGGATATACCAGGATCTGGTGCTATTTCCTTTATTTACTTTCAGTTACTTCTATATTTGGGCATTCTATGACCTTAGGTTATGCTGAGTCAGTATGTATTTGTTCTTTTTATTATTCTGTATTTTTGTAGAAAATACTGAGAGTTATGAGGAAGGATTGGATAAACCCTCTTAAGAAATATATCTGCAAAGTCTGTCTCTGTGTATCCTTTTATTATACATCTCTATCTTTCTGTTTTCATACTTTAGCGGGGTTTGTTTTGGTTTTGCTCATACAATCAGTTCTCACATTTGGCTTTTACCTTACTGGGTACTTGAAATATTTTTACTGCCTCCAGTATAATTTTGTGCTCAGTAGTATTCTGTTTTTAGACAAATTATCTGGATATTTATCATCCTGTTTCCAGTTCCATAACCCTAGTATATTCTCCATTCAGTTGAAAGTTTAAATAATAATTCCAAATATAAAAATTTTTTCTTGTTTTTTTAATATGTATATTTCTGAGAAGAGAATAAAATTTTTCTTATTTTTTGGTATTGTTACCTCTTATTTACTTGCAGTATCTTTGATAGGTTTGCTGATTTTTATCTTTTTATTTTAGAGACATTTCCTTGATTGTGATTTTCTGTTTATTATATCTGACTACTCTGGGGCAAAAGATTGCTATTCTTTCGTTACATATTTTATAACTTTATGTAACGAGGGAAAATCTAAGATGACACTTTTGCAGAGAAAATTATGTTCTAAATTTAGTTCTGGTATTCAACTGAAATGACTGAGTCTTTTCCTCAGGTTACAATCATTGAATTAGGAAGGGAGATATTTTGCAACATTACTTAAGTAAAAGCCATCCTTCAATAATTACCTTAGTTCAGTGGGTTTTATCTCCTAATTTTTTTTTCTTTTTTGAGACAGGTTCTTACTCTGTCATCAGGCTAAAGTGGAATGGCATGGTCACAGTTCACTGCAGCCTCTACCTCCCAGGCTCAAGTGATCCTCCAACCTCAGCCTCCCAAGTAGCTGGGACCACAGGTACACACCACTATGCCAGGTTAAATTTTTATTTTTTATTTTTGTGGAGATGATGTCCCACTATATTACCCAGACTAGTCTTGAATTCCTGACTTTAAGTGATCCTCCTGCCTCAGCCTCCCAAAGTGCTGGAATTATAGGCATGAGCCACCATGCCGAGGCTGTCCAAATATTCTTGATTCTACATAACTAGGCATCATTTCTCATGTTCAGAGACACTTCTAAGCATAATTCATCCTTAGAAAGATCCGGAACCATTGGGACCAGAAACCTTTCTTCCTTGTAATAAAATTTCCCTATGTAACAGGAAGTAAGATATTTTGAAACTTTAAAATAACAGAAATTATTTTAACACTCTCTTTTAAAAACAATAAAAATTTCTCTACAAGTAATTTTTAAATAAAAGGAATATTTGCCTTAAGGTAATTTTCTTTTAATGTTTATATCGTGTAGTAAGGAACAACTTCTCTGCTACAGAAGAAAAAACACATACATTTGACTTGTAGGTGCCACCCCTTGACCAGTGAGCTGAATTATGCAATCTTAGTTTTGCCATGTATTCAAACAATAATACATTTTATGATTTTTAATAGTTTGAAAATTGTGATTATTTTCATCTGTGAAAAAAATGAAACAGAAACTTTTAAAATAATTCAACCAAATATTGGATTATCACCGCCCAGTGCTCTGTGATCATCCCTCAAAAATTATGGCATAAAGAGAATTACATTGTCAATGCATTCTTACCAAATGAGCATGAATTATGATAATGAGAAGATTAGAATAATATGAATCTCTCATTTAATTTTCTATTTTTCTACATTTAAAATGTAAATTATAAAACCCAGTAGAGACACTTTCATAATACTACATATATACATTGGAAACTTTCAAATACAAGTGTTAATATAGGGTAGACAGCCCTACTCTCATTTCCTATCTTTAATTTTCTCATTTAGTGATGCCCATGCATCCTGAAGAAAGCTGTTCAAGATGCCACAACTCCACTGGTAAAACAAAAGATATCTATACATAGACTTTCCATTACCTCTTTTACATTTTAGCAGCTGGCATAGGCAGATGTTTGCTGTTTCTTTCTTTTTTTTTTTTCTGGCATTTTATTGAAAGGAACAATAAAAAGTCTGTAGCTCAATCAAAAACCTGTGTTTTCTTTCATTTGCTTAACTGCAAGCCGAGGTAGAGAGTTGAAATCTTAAATTTACAACTAAAAATCAAAATACCAGATGGTTTTATAATTGGATATTTCTTTTCCCCTAGAGCAAACCAGACTTTCTGAAAGATGAAGATACAAGCTAAAAATATCTATGGATGTAATATCCAATCCCTGTACGTACTTGAAAGCAGGTAACTTGAAAGAAAAAAAAAGAAGGGAAAAATACCCATTCGTTTAATTATTGAAAACTGTAGACTTAGCAAACTTACACCTGTGTGAGTCATTGTGTATTGGTTTATGGTCAGCCATTTTGAATATTTTATTTAACATAATAAATCATAATTTTTGAAAAAAGTATATATTTAAGTAAATCTTATGGCATTTTAGATTTCATTTGAGGTAATAATGGCAATACAATTATAAATTTTAGTTAGGATATTTTACCAAGAACACAAGATAGTAAAACAAAATCAAAGAAAAATATTATATTAAATTAAAGATAATTGGGGGGAGGAGCCAAGATGGCCGAATAGGAACAGCTCCGGTCTACAGCTCCCAGCATGAGCGACACAGAAGATGGGTGATTTCTGCATTTCCATCTGAGGTACCAGGTTCATCTCACTAGGGAGTGCCAGACAGTGGGTGCAGGTCAGTGGGTGCACGCACCGTGCGCCAGCAGAAGCAGGGCGAGGCATTGCCTTACTCAGGAAGTGCAGGGGGTCAGGGAGTTCCCTTTCCTAGTCAAAGAAAGGAGTGACAGACAGCACTTGGAAAATCGGGTCACTCCCACCCAAATACTGCGCTATATTGACAGGCTTAAAAAATGGCGCACCAGGAGATTATATCCCGCACCTGGCTCAGAGGGTCCTAGGACCACGGAGTCTCACTGATTGCTAGCACAGCAGTCTGAGATCAAACTGCAAGGCAGCAGCGAGGCTGGGGGAGGGGTGCCAGCCATTGCCCAGGCTTGCTTAGGTAAACAAAGCAGCCGGGAAGCTCGAACTGGGTGGAGTCCACAACAGCTCAAGGAGGCCTGCCTGCCTCTGTAGGCTCCACCTCTGGGGGCAGGGTACAGACAAACAAAAAGACAGCAGTAACCTCTGCAGACTTAAATGTCCCTGTCTGACAGCTTTGAAGAGAGCAGTGGTTCTCCCAGCACACAGCTGGAGACCTGAGAACAGGCAGACTGCCTCCTCAAGTGGGTCCCTGACCCCTGACCCCCGAGCAGCCTAACTGGGAGGCACCCCCCAGCAGGGGCAGACTGACACTTCACACGGCCGGGTACTCCAACAGACCTGCAGCTGAGGGTCCTGTCTGTTAGAAGGAAAACTAACAAACAGAAAGAACATCCACACCAAAAACCCATCTGTACATCACCATCATCAAAGACCAAAAGAAGATAAAACCACAAAGATGGGGAAAAAACAGCGCAGAAAAACTGGAAACTCTAAAAAGTAGAGCGCCTCTCCTCCTCCAAAGGAACACAGTTCCTCACCAGCAGCGGAACAAAGCTGGACGGAGAATGACTTTGACGAGCTGAGAGAAGAAGGCTTTAGACGATCAAATTACTCCGAGCTACAGGAGGACATTCAAACCAAAGGCAAAGAAGTTGAAAACTTTGAAGAAAAATTAGAAGAATGTATAACTAGAATAACCAATACAGAGAAGTACTTAAAGGAGCTGATGCAACTGAAAACCAAGGCTCGAGAACTACGTGAAGAATGCAGAAGCCTCAGGAGCCGATGCGATCAACTCAAAGAAAGGGTATCAGCGATGGAAGATGAAATGAATGAAATGAAGCGAGAAGGGAAGTTTAGAGAAAAAAGAACAAAAAGAAATGAGCAAAGCCTCCAAGAAATATGCGACCATGTGAAAAGACCAAATCTACGTCTGATTGGTGTACCTGAAAGTGACAGGGAGAATGGAACCAAGTTGGAAAACACTCTGCAGGATATTGTCCAGGAGAACTTCCCCAGTCTAGCAAGGCAGGCCAACATTCAGATTCAGGAAATACAGAGAATGCCACAAAGATACTCCTCGAGAAGAGCAACTCCAAGACACATAATTGTCAGATTCACCAAAGTTGAAATGAAGGAAAAAATGTTAAAGGCAGCCAGAGAGAAAGGTCGGGTTACCCTCAAAGGGAAGCCCATCAGACTAACAGCGGATCTCTCGGCAGAAACTCTACAAGCCAGAAGAGAGTGGGGGCCAATATTCAACATTCTTAAAGAAAAGAATTTTTCAACCGAGAATTTCATATCCAGCCAAACTAAGCTTCACAAGTGAAGGAGAAATAAAATACTTTACAGACAAGCAAATGCTGAGAGATTTTGTCACCACCAGGCCTGCCCTAAAAGAGCTCCTGAAGGAAGCGCTAAACATGGAAAGGAACAACCAGTACCAGCCCCTGCAAAATCATGCCAAAATGTAAAGACCATCGACATTAGGAAGAAACTGCATCAACTAACGAGCAACATAACCAGCTAACATCATAATGACAGGATCAAATTCACACATAACAGTATTAACTTAAAATGTAAATGGACTAAATGCTCTAATTAAAAGACACAGACTGGCAAATTGGATAAAGAGTCAAGACCCATCAGTGTGCTGTATTCAGGAACCCCATCTCATGTGCAGAGACACACATAGGCTCAAAATAAAAGGAGGGAGGAAGATCTACCAAGCAAATGGAAAACAAAAAAAAGCAGGGGTTGCAATCCTAGTCTCTGATAAAACAGACTTTAAACCAACAAAGATCAAAAGAGACAAAGAAGGCCATTACATAATGGTAAAGGGATCAATTCAACAAGAAGAGCTAACTATACTAAATATATATGCACCCAATACAGGAGCACCCAGACTCATAAAGCAAGTCCTGAGTGACCTACAAAGAGACTTAGACTCCCACACATTAATAATGGGAGACTTTAACACCCCACTGTCAACATTAGACAGATCAACGAGACAGAAAGTCAACAAGGATACCCAGGAATTGAACTCAGCTCTACACCAAGCGGACCTAATAGACATCTACAGAACTCTCCACCCCAAATCAACAGAATATACATTTTTTTCAGCACCACACCACACCTATTCCAAAATTGACCACACAGTTGGAAGTAAAGCTCTCCTCAGCAAATGTGAAAGAACAGAAATTATAACAAACTATCTCTCAGACCACAGTGCAATCAAACTAGAACTCAGGATTAAGAAACTCACTCAAAACTGCTCAACTACATGGAAACTGAACAACTTGCTCCTGAATGACTACTGGGTACATAACGAAATGAAGGCAGAAATAAAGATGTTCTTTGAAACCAGTGAGAACAAAGACACAACATACCAGAATCTCTGGGACGCATTCAAAGCAGTGTGTAGAGGGAAATTTATAGCACTGAATGCCCACAAGAGAAAGCAGGAAAGATCCAAAATTGACAACCTAACATCACAATTAAAAGAACTAGAAAAGCAAGAGCAAACACATTCAAAAGCTAGCAGAAGGCAAAAAATAAAATCAGAGCAGAACTGAAGGAAATAGAGACACAAAAAACCCTTCAAAAAATTAATGAATCCAGGAGCTGGTTTTTTGAAAGGATCAAAAAAATTGATAAACCACTAGCAAGACTAATAAAGAAAAAAAGAGAGAAGAATCAAATAGACGCAATAAAAAATGATAAAGGGGATATCACCACCGATCCCACAGAAATACAAACTACCATCAGAGAATACTACAAACACCTCTATGCAAATAAACTAGAAAATCTAGAAGAAATGGATAAATTCCTCGACACATACACTCTCCCAAGACTAAACCAGGAAGAAGTTGAATCTCTGAATAGACTGATAACAGGATCTGAAATTGTGGCAATAATCAATAGCTTACCAACCAAAAAGAGTCCAGGACCAGATGGATTCACAGCCGAATTCTACCAGAGGTACAAGGAGGAACTGGTACCATTCCTTCTGAAACTATTCCAATCAATAGAAAAAGAGGGAATCCTCCCTAACTCATTTTATGAGGCCAGCATCATCTTGATACCAAAGCCGGGCAGAGACACAACCAAAAAAGAGAATTTTCGACCAATGTCCTTGATGAACATTGATGCAAAAATCCTCAATAAAATACTGGCAAACCAAATCCAGCAGCACATCGAAAAGCTTGTCCACCATGATCAAGTGGGCTTCATCCCTGGGATGCAAGGCTGGTTCAATATACGCAAATCAATAAATATAATCCAGCATATAAACAGAACCAAGGACAATAACCACATGATTATCTCAATAGATGCAGAAAAGGCCTTTGACAAAATTCAACAACGCTGCATGCTAAAAACTCTCAATAAATTAGGTATTGATGGGACGTATCTCAAAATAATAAGAGCTATCTATGACAAACCCACAGCCAATATCATACTGAATGGGCAAAAACTGGAAGCATTGCCTTTGAAAACTGGCACAAGACAGGGATGCCCTCTCTCACCACTCCTATTCAACATAGTGTTGGAAGTTCTGGCCAGGGCAATTAGGCAGGAGAAGGAAATAAAGGGTATTCAATTAGGAAAAGAGGAAGTCAAATTGTCCCTGTTTGCAGATGACATGATTGTATATCTAGAAAACCCCATTGTCTCAGCCCAAAATCTCCTTAAGCTGATAAGCAACTTCAGCAAAGTCTCAGGATACAAAATCAATGTACAAAAATCACAAGCATTCTTATACACCAACAACAGACAAACAGAGCACCAAATCATGAGTGAACTCCCATTCACGATTGCTTCAAAGAGAATAAAATACCTAGGAATCCAACTTACAAGGGATGTGAAGGACCTCTTCAAGGAGAACTACAAACCACTGCTCAAGGAAATAAAAGAGGATACAAACAAATGGAAGAACATTCCATGCTCATGGGTAGGAAGAATCAATATTGTGACAATGGCCATACTGCCCAAGGTAATTTACAGATTCAATGCCATCCCCATCAAGCTACCAATGACTTTCTTCACAGAATTGGAAAAAACTACTTTAAAGTTCATATGGAACCAAAAAAGAGCCCGCATCACCAAGTCAATCTTAAGCCAAAAGAATAATCCTGGAGGCATCTCACTACCTGACTTCAAACTATACTAGAAGGCTACAGTAACCAAAACAGCATGGTACTGGTACCAAAACAGAGATATAGCTCAATGGAACAGAACAGAGCCCTCAGAAATAATGCCACATATCTACAACTATCTGATCTTTGACAAACCTGAGAAAAACAAGCATTGGGGAAAGGATTCCCTATTTAATAAATGGTGCTGGGAAAACTGGCTAGCCATATGTAGAAAGCTGAAACTGAATCCCTTCCTTACACCTTATACAAAAATCAATTCAAGATGGATTAAAGACTTAAACGTTAGACCTAAAACCATAAAAACCGTAGAAGAAAACCTAGGCATTACCATTCAGGACCTAGGCATGGGCAAGGACTTCATGTCTAAAACACCAAAAGCAATGGTAATAAAAGCCAAAATTGACAAATGGGATCAAATTAAACTAAAGAGCTTCCGCACAGCAAAAGAAACTACCATCAGAGTGAACAGGCAACCTACAAAATGGGAGAAAATTTTCACAACCTACTCATCTGACAAAGGGCTAATATCCAGAATCTACAAGAAACTCAAACAAATTTACAAGAAAAAAACAAACAACCCCATGAAAAAGTGGGTGAAGGACATGAACAGACACTTCTCAAAAGAAGACATTTATGCAGCCAAAAAACACATGAAAAAATGCTCACCATCACTGGCCATCAGAGAAATGCAAATCAAAACCACAATGAGATACCATCTCACACCAGTTAGAATGGCAATCATTAAAAAGTCAGGAAACAACAGGTGCTGGAGAGGATGTGGAGCAATAGGAACACTTTTACACTGTTGCTGGGACTGTAAACTAGTTCAACCATTGTGGAAGTCAGTGTGGTGATTCCTCAGGGATCTAGAATTAGAAATACCATTTGACCCAGCCATCCCATTACTGGGTATATACCCAAAGGACTATAAATCATGCTGCTATAAAGACACATGCACATGTATGTTTATTGCGGCGCTATTCACAATAGCAAAGACTTGGAACCAACCCAAATGTCCAACAATGATAGACTGGGTTAAGAAAATGTGGCACATATACACCATGGAATACTATGCAGCCATAACAAATGATGAGTTCATGTCCTTCGTAGGGACGTGGATGAAACTGGAAATCATCATTCTCAGTAAACTATTGCAAGAACAAAAAACCAAACACCGCATATTCTCACTTATAGGTGGGAATTGAACAATGAGAACACATGGACACAGGAAGGGGAACATCACATTCTGGGGACTGTTGTGGGGTGGGGGGAGGGGGGAGGGATAGCACTGGGAGATATACCTAATGCTAGATGACGAGTTAGTGGGTGCAGCACACCAGCATGGCACATGTATACATATGTAACTAACCTGCACATTGTGCACATGTACCCTAAAACTTTAAGTATAATATAAAATAAATACATAAATAAATTAATTAATTAATTAAAGATAATCATCATCTTTGCCACATACAAGGTCCAGTAAAATAATAATTAACCAAAATTAAGAATGTTATATTTATGGTTTCAAATTTGCCTTTCGTGGTGTGCTGAATAATGCCCACCCCTCCATAACCAGATTCTAATCTATAGAACATGTGCATATTACTTTGTACAGCAAAAAAGACTTTGCATATGTGATTAAATTAAGGATTTTGAAATAGAGAGATTATCTTCTATTAGCTGCATGGCACAAAATATATTCACAAACATTAGAGAGGGAGGTATAAGCAGCTTTAACTACAAAGATAGAGGACAATGTGACTACTGCAGCAAGATGCTATGCTACTGGCATAGAAGTCGGAGGAAAGGGCTGCAAGCCAAAGAATTCAGGTGGCCGTAAGAAGCTAGAAATGTCAAAGGGACTTTCTCCCAAAGCCTCCAGAGAGGGAGTGAAAGTGGCTCTGCTGAACTTTGATTTTGGTCCAGTGAAACTGATTTTGGCCTTCTAATCTGTGGAACTGTAAAAGAATGTGTGCTGTTTTACACCATCAAGTCTGTAGTTATTTATTATATTAGAGCAGACACATAAAACTAATATAGTGTTTAAAACAAAAAATTACTTTTAGTAGCTTTTACGTTCATGAAGATTACAAAACATTTTTTAAAGTATTATAATGCCTAATTTATTTAGAGACTAAAACATAAATATTTCTTCTAAAAGAATTTTTATATGACTGAACTCAGCATAAAAAGCAACAGACACATATAACCACATGTGTAGCTTAAGATATATGTATATGCACACATACAATGTGTAGCTTAAGATATATGTATATGTGTACACATACACATGTGTAGCTTAAGGTATACGTATATGCACACACACGTTGTCTACGCTCTTTTCTTTAAAATATTGTTTTAAAATGTATCATCATCTTTCCATGCATTTTGATCTGAACATAGATATTTTAAGATTTAACAAATTAGTCATAATTATATAAAAATATGCTTGTCCAAACTTTGATCCATCTAGGTAAAATTAAATAGTTTTTCCAAAACTACATTAAGATTTTTGTTACTGCACTTTTTTTTTGTTTTGTTTTTTGAGACAGAGTCTCGCTCTGTCACCCAGGTTGGAGTGCAGGGGCACAATCTCGGCTCACTGCAACATCTGCCTCCTGGGTTCAAGCAATTCTTCTGCCTCAGCCTCCTGAGTAGCTGGGATTACAGGTGCATGCCACCACACCTGGCTAATTTCTGTATTTTTCGTAGAGACGTGTTTCACCATGTTGGTCGGGCTTGTCTCGAGCTCCTGACCTTGTGATCTGCCGACCTAGGCCTCCCAAAGTGCTGGGATTACAGGCCTGAACCACCACACCCCGCTGTTATAGCACTATTGTATTCAAAGTACTTTGGATGTGTTGGGTAGTTGAATGTTCACACTTTTTGGATAAGTACTATCATTACCCGAATTTATGGTTGAAAAAAATTAAGTATAAGGAAATAACATTAGTTATCTATAAATATAGCAAGAAAACTGCAGTGCCTATATAAAAACCCTATCTCATTCATTTGTAACTATGAGAACCATTATTTACAGAATATATCATTTGACGAGTAATCAAAAACAGTGTTTGATTTTTAGTCTCATGTTTTATAATAATAAAGTGTGTTAACCAGTTTTCAAATTTTGTACATTTCCAAATTTATTGTCTTGGTTAATTGCATTTTACTCTTTCAAGTTTATAAAAGTTAGGTATACTTTAGTTGATTCCATCATTTTTTAATACTTCTACTAATAATTTGTCTTTTTCCTTGCTTTTAATCCTGACTTGATTTTAGTTAACTTCCATTTAGCAAAATCATATTTTGTATGTATCTATGCTTAGTAGTATTTTTACATGAGATAATCAGGTAGTCATTTGCCAATATTGTTACGGTGTGGCTGTGTCCCCACCTAAATCTTATCTTGAATTGTAACTCCCATAAATCCCACATATTGTGGGAGGGATCCAGTGGAAGATAACTGAATCGTGGAAGTAGTTTCCGTTATAGTGTTCTCATGATGGCGAATAAGTCTCATGAGATCTGTTGGTTTTGGACAGGGGTTTCTCCTTTAGCTTGTTTTTCTTTCTCTATAGTCTGTCACAACGTAAGACGTGCCTTTTGCCTTCTACCACGATTGTGAGGCCTCCTCAGCCAGTGGAACTGTGAGTCCATTAAACCTCTTCTTCTTTACAAATTACTCAGTCTCCATAATGTATAAAGAAATTAACAGCAGCATGAAAATGGACTAATACAAATATGATACTTCTTTCCTCTTTAGTAATTATTTTTCAGGTTAATATGTAAACATTTGTCAAATTTAATGCTAGCTTTGGCATATAATATACAGTTAGGACATCATAAGGTCTTTGAAATGATCAATTGTCAACTTCAAAATGCTTAATTGTCAACTTCAAAATGCTTCGCTTATCTACTAATTTTTTCTATCCCGCTTTATTCAGACCTCGATGATAGGGTTTTATTTACAGAGTTGCTGTTGTTGCTGCTCATATGGCAGCTGTTGTTTTCGTATTTGCGTTTACTATTTTATTAGATGCTTCAAGGCAGAGTTACATCTCAAACAACTTTGAACATGCAGAAGTAAAGTAAGTTATTTAAAGAACACTTTCATATATTATATGGACTATCCTGATCGTTTTAATTTAAATATACTTTATGATAGAGCCAAGTACGTACTATGCTTCTTTAAAGTAGCATATCTACATAATGATTTCATTTCCTTTGGGTAGATATCCAATAATGAGAGGCCATTGTTTTCAGTGAAATAATACAGAAACAGAAAGTCAAATACCACATGTTCTCACTTGTAAGTGGCAGCTAAATAATGGGCACACATGGATATAAGCTATGGAATAATAGACATTGTAGATTAGTAAGGTTGTGGGGTAAAGGAGGATGGATGAGAAATGTGAAATTACCTAATGGGTACAATGTAAATTATTCAGGTGATGGTTACACTAAAAGCCTAGGCTTCACCGCTATGCAATATATCTAAGTAACAAAACTGCACTTGTACAACTTACATTCATATGAATTTAAAAAATAAAAAAAGTAAAAGTAGCAAAATGTCTTGAGTAACAGGATCAACATTTATTTTATTTGCATAAACATATAACTATCAACATTAGCATTTTTATTGTTAAATAGTTGACTACAGTGTTATAGTATTCAAATTATTTTAATTTAGATAAACTCCCTGTATTTTCAATGTTTATTAACAACCTCAATTTATTGCATCTAGACAGGATAATATGACTATCACAAATTTAGAACTTATTCTTGAATATGTATTTTGTTTTCATTTTATAATAATCAATTTGAAAATAACTTTTTTACAAGTCAAATATAAATCATGCACAATAAGTCATAAATAGGATTTAATATACTTTGTAAGTTTATGCATCAAAATAAAATTTTGTTTTAATAGCCACGCTAAAGTTGAATAAAATTAAATTCATATATAATATTTAAATGTTTTTGAAAAATTTGCTTTATTGTTACCAGAGAATCATATTTTAAACAAGAAGAGAGTAATATTAGTCAAATATTTAGTATCTTTTCATGATTAGTACCTTATTGCTGAAGAGTCAAACTCTGTAAAATATTTATCATTAATGTATAATTTATAATTTATTATTTATAATTTATCATTTATTTATTATTATTATTATAGAGATATATTCTGAGCTAAATATGAGTGACCCATAACACAGCCCTCAGGAAATCCTGAGAATATATGCCCAAGGTGTTTGGACTATAACTTGGTTTTATACGTTTTAGGGAGACATAAGACATCAATCAATATACGTAAGATGTATATTGGTTCAGTCTGGAAAAGCAGGACAACTGGAAGTTGGGGGTTGGTTGGGTAGGGGGTGGGGAGGTAGGAGGGGCTTCCACGTCATAGGTAGATTAATAGATTTTCTGATTGGCAATTGGTTGAGAGAGTTAAGTTCTTGTCTAAAGACCTAGAATCAATAGAAAGGAATGTCAGGGTTACAATAAGAGCTTGTGGAGACCAAGGTTTTATCATGCAAATGATGCCTCCAGGTAGCAAGCTTCAGAGACAATAGACTGTAAATATTTCTTATCAGATTTAAAGGGTCTGTTCTATAAGTCTTAAGGTCTATGTTGATGTTAATGCTGATCAGCTTTTCCTGAATTCCAACAAGAAGGAAGGCATAATATGGCATGTCTGACTCCCCCTTCCCTGAACTAGGTTCTACAGGTTAATTTTGGGATGCCCTTTGCTGAGAGGAGGGGTCCATTCAGATGGCTGGGCTGGGGCAGTGCTTAGAATTGTATTTTTTGTTTAATGAAAATAATATAGGCCAGGATCAGTGACTCATGCTTGTAATCCTTGCACTTTGGGAGGCCAAGGCAGGTAGATCGCCTGAGGTCAGGAGTTCAAGACCAGCCTGCCCAAACACGGCCAATATGGTGAAACCCCGTTTCTACTAAAAATACAAAAATTAACCGGGCTCGATGGCCTGAGCCTGTAGTCTCAGCTACTGAGGAGGCTGAGGCAGGAGAATAGCTTGAACCCAGGAGGTGGAGGTTTCAGTGAGCTGAGATTGCATCACTGCACTCCAGCCTTGGTGACAGAGCGAGACCCTGTTTCAAAAAAAAAAAAAAAATGTTATAACTAATACCATTGGCCAGTCACGGTGGCTCAACCTTGGGAAGCACTTTGGGAAGCCAAGGTGGGCAGATGACTTGAGGCAAGGAGTTTGAGACCAGCCTGGACAACATGGCAAAACTCTGTCTCTACTAAACATCAGCCAGGCATGGTGGTACATGCCTGTAATACCAGCCACTTGGGAAGCTGAGGCACGAGAATCACTTGAACCTGGGAGATATTGGGTGCAGTGAGCTGAGATGGTGCCATTGCACTCCAGCCTGGGCAACAGAGCTATATATTTTTTTTTATTCTCAAAAAATAAATAACTAAAATAAAAATAAGTAAATAATACCATTGATTGAATGTATTGCCTCATATAATTATCTGAGAATTGTGTTTACCCTTTCATGTTACTGCTAAAGAGCATTCAGTACATTTACTCTAATGCTTAATCCACCCAGCCATTTAGAG
Source organism: Homo sapiens (assembly GCF_000001405.40). Classification (NCBI taxonomy): domain Eukaryota; kingdom Metazoa; phylum Chordata; class Mammalia; order Primates; family Hominidae; genus Homo; species Homo sapiens. The sequence goes on from NC_000009.12 coordinate 30,118,073, forward strand.
AAATATTCACTTGACAATAATTTTGAAAGTTTACATATGTAAACTTTCTGTGTAACTTCATCCAGAAATTTTTCTCATCATCCCCTACAATCTGTCATTATTAGATTAGGATTTTTGTGGTCCATTGTTACTTCCTGAGAACTAGTTTGACTAAATCTTTTGTGTTAAGATGCCTACTTCATTGCTTATTCAGTAGAAAATGGCCAATGTAGGTTAGTTTGATAAAATGTTAGACTAATGGTTAGCAGATGGACTCCCAAAATGAAACTGAACATCCTTAAAAATGTGAATTGTGTGGTTAATTCGTTTATTCATTCAACAAAGAGTAGATAAGTATTTATTATATGATACGTAAACTAATAAAAAATAGCTGTATATTTGGAGCTTAAATTTTACTGAGTAAAGACACAATAAATAGTATAGGCAATATATAAATATATTATATGTTATATTAGAAGATAATTGTTATAGAAAAACTATATTGGGGTAAAAACAATTCAAAATGCTTGAGGACACTACTTGCATATTTAAATAAATGGTTACCCTAATTGAAGAGGTAATGTTTGTGTAGAGAAGTAAGTTATATTTTGAAAGGATTGCTCTAGCTGCTAGATTGAACATACACTACCGTTTGAGTTTTCAGGGGTGGAGAAGGGGGGTAAAAAGAAGAGACAGAAGGACAACTTTGGAATTTGTAGATCTAGTCTTGAGAGTAGCACTAGAAACTTGGTTAGAAATGCTTACAATTTGGAACAGGATTGCAGCAGTAAAGACGAAAAAACTATCAAGATTCAGGCATTATTCTGAAGGGAAAAAGGGAAAATTTCTGGCAGAAGAATGTAGTATATAAGAGAAAAACAATCATTGAGGGTGATTAAAATACATTGGTTTTGAGTAGGTTGAAAGATGAAATTACCATCAGCTGAGACAGGGAAGATTTGGTATTTTGGGGGAAGTTTAGATGTTACTGTTGAGATGTCTATTTAAAGCTCAAGTAAAGATGTGAATAGTATTTAGATATACAGGTTTGGCACTTAGGGAAAAAATGTGGGCCAAAAATCTTAATTGCATAGTTTTGAGTTTAGATGACATATGTAAAGCCATGAGACTTGAAAAGATGACCAAAAGAGTTGAGTGAGTGTAGAGATCCAAAGACTGCACTTTGGATTCTCAAAGCTTAAGAGATTGAAGAAAAGATAAGAGGAAGAAAAAGGCAGAAGAAGGATATGTTTGTAGGAGCATAGCCATGAGACTTTGATATGTTGGACATCATATAAATAAAGTATACAGAGGAGGACATACTAATCAGCTGTATACAATGCTAAATGCCAACATAGGGATCACTGGAGACAATGACAAAGCATTCAAGTGAATTAATCTCATTTGTCCATACCACAAAATATTATTCTCCATCTCATAATCACCTTTATATTTTCTGTTGAGTCATTTTCTATCTGGCAAAATAATACATTATTTATTTTTGAGGGAAATTAGCTAGGTTATAGCATACCATCTTAAATATTTAATATTTAATACAAATTGATTAGGTAATCAGACAATTATTTATCTACTGATAAGGCTATAATAAATCCTTATTGATCAGATGTCCAAATCTTGTGTCTTGTACTCCTTTTCAGTCTATAGTCACTCATTGGTTACACATTCTAGTCTTATGACTTTCAAAATACCATGTAAGCAGAAAACTATCCAATTTCTATATTCAGCACAGATTTCTCCCTTAAATGCCAGAAATTTATACACAAATACCCACTCAACATTTTATGTGAACTTTACATAGATATCTCAAATTCTTCTAAGATGCTTGGTCTAAAGTAATCGAAAAGAGTTAACGTTTTTATTGTAATAAGATTAAGTTGGAGTATCCACTAAGCTCTATCAGGAGGTTGGTTGGTTGCTTGTTTTTAATAATTTTTAGTTGGAACAGAGTAAACTAGACTTTCTGAGCATTAACTTTATTAATAGAGTTTATTATAAATGTAAGAAGTTTGATATGAAGAAAAGTTTCTTTACTTATATTTTAGAATAAATTCTATGCATTGAAGTAAAAAGTAGAATCACTTGCTTGGATCTGCAGCAGCATTTTAGGCTCAATTTAGATTTTAGAATGAGACTACAGTACCTGAGTGAAAGAAAAGATAAACTCTTGAAGAAATTTCCATGACTGAAGAAAAATACTATAGCTCATGCTAGGAAAGGCTGACTGTGAAATAAGGAGAGAGGGAATGACTCCAGGTATTTATTTGTTTATTTTTTTATTTGTTATCTTTTGGAGTGAGGCTTCTGCATCGTTAGTTGGGAACACTGCAGAAACTATAGACGTTTTGGAAGGCTAGATTCATACTAATCTAAAAGAAGCAAGGAGAAATATGGCTGGGAAATTGAGAGTTTCTGTATTCAATCACAAACAGTGGAATACATTAGCCTGCTTTCAAAAGTAAGCTAACCCGTATGCTGAAAGTATAATCAAGCTTAACTAAGATGAAAGCATTTTTTTTCTTTACTGTGAAATAGGCTTTCTGGGAGAAAGGAAAGACTTAATGTTTTTTATTTGCTTTTTTCTTTACAATTCTAAGGTCAATTTTCAATGTGCATGGAGAGCCTGAAAAATAAGTTATTCTTTTGATCAACATAACCGACCACTGTAGAACATTGGCTGACGACTATATAGCTATTAATATCATGAATCAGGTAGTGGTTCACAATCAGAATCAGGTTACCAGACACTGCAAGGAGGAGCTCGTTTAACCTCCACTTAACTTCCCTGAGCTACTTTTGTGATTCATCTTTTTCAATCCCATTGCAGCTTGCCAAGGAGTTGCATATCTGTTAATGGTAAATCTGATTTTATCTACGTCAGACAGCAGAAACAAGTTATTGACACCAACGTAACCTTTTGTTTCAGGAAGATCCAAGATATTGAGCTTCAATGGCAGTGGTACAACAAATAAATTAGACATATTCAGCATGACAGGAAGCAAATATTGTACTTCAGAGCAGCTTGGAATTTAAAGCAAAGGAGAATGCCATGTTTTTCAGTAACCATTTAAAAATGTTACTTTATTACTACTATTTACTAACTTTTTATATAAGAAAAACAAAAAGGAACCTGGTTTTCAAAACAGTGCCATAAATTAATATTTCCACTAATGGGCTAGATATTTCATTACAGGTCTCAAAGAAAAATTCTGAAATTCCAAGTAGATATTCCCCTCTTTTTAATTGGAGCAATTTATTGAAAGCCCTGAATCGTTATTTTTTGCATATATTTATAAACTTCTCTTGAGAGTCCAGAAAGTTTTTGTGAAAGGTCCAAAATAGTCTTCATTTTTGTTTGTTGTCATATCTATACTGTAATCAGCAAAACGATTGCAGTGTATAATGTAATCTTAGAAGGAAATGGGGCTGAAATGGATTAATTATGAATCGTGCATTTAGCAGCAATGCATGTATGCACACACACACACACACACACACATACACTTTCCTAATTACAACTCTGTGAAGATTAACATATAAACACCAAAGGCTTTTTGAAGTGACATAGAAAAAATGGTTTCAGGTGAGATTTTCTGTACATATGAGAAATTTATGTTGAAATATGTGTTAAAATAGATTTGTATACAAATCTGAGAGAATTGAACGACGGAGGAGGTTTGAAGATACCAACCATCTGCAGATATCATCTGTTTGTCATGAAGGCTTCGGTGCTCATTAGCAAAAAGCGTTGTTCCCTGTACCCACAGATGTCCACCCTGGTTGCCTAGAGCAGACTATATAGAAAAGGAATAAAAGGAAGGAAATCATTGCCAATGAATAAAAATAAAGTGATTTCTCAGTTTTCATACTATTAGAATTCTAGCCTCCTAGGCTGTTCTTGCATTGCTATAAAGAAATATCTGAGAGTGGTTAATTTATAAAGAAAATAGGTTTAATTGGCTCATGATTCTTCAGACTGTACAATAAGCACAAAGCTGGTGTGTTCTCAGATTCCTGGGAGGCCTCAGGAAACTTACAATCATGATCGAAGGTAAATGTGTAGCAGGCAGGTCACATGGCCAAAGCAGAAGCAAGACAAGGGGGGCAGGTGCCACAGACTTTTAAAAACCAGATCTCACAAGAACTCCTTCACTATTACAGGAACAACATCAAGGGGATGATGCCAAACTGTTCATGAGAAATCCACCCTGCTGGTCCAGTCACCTCCCACCATGCCCTGCCTCCAACACTGGGGATTAAATTCAACATGAGATTTCGGTGGGGACACATATCCAAACTCTATCAGCTAGCTTCAGTAGGTCTTTGGTGTACTCCCTCAGAATGACTACAGCTTTGAAAAACAGGTGACTTTAAAAGGGCTATCATCAGTCCTAATTTATTATGCCTGATTGACACATAGTTATCTGACAGTAAATCATTCTAACATCACAAATATCTTATTTCTGCCTGTCACACTAATTTGCAAAGCATTCAATTGATTGACTATTAATGAGCATCGTGTCATTCACAGTGTTTTAGGTTTCTCAAGAGAATTATGCTGTTCTTCCTGTAACTCAAGTAGAGGAAGAACATATTCTCATTCATTTCTAATTAATATTTCACTAATATATCGGTAACTACAAAGGGAAGTTCATTAGCTAACCTATTAGCTTGGACTCTGACTTCACAATGTTCTTTTCATTCATATAAGAAGTTAGCCACTGCTACTAGATTATAAATGGACTTCCTGAGTCCCGACCCCTCCCCATAGACATTGCTAGTCTACAGCTTGCTAAAGAAAAGCTCCCATTTTTTCTTTAATCATTTTGTGTAAAATATTTCAGGAATCTGAACTTGCACAGAATTAGAAAATATTTTCCTAGCAACTTAACAATAAGACATAATTAAACGGAGGCTGGGGAGGTGGCATAAATGAAATTTATTTGCCCTTCAACATATACATCAGAATAAGGATAAGTAAAGTCAATCGAGCAGGAAATACTTATAAAGTAAAGTTTGCCATCAAAATCTCCGGCCACCCATTTCCTAAAGTAATTGAAATTTTAAGTTCAATTCTAGGTCTAATAGATATTGTTAACGTATTCAGAAAAAAAACCCCTATATGACTATAGGGTAATTGTAATTCCTCTTAGAATACACATTACAATAAAAACATCCAATTACTAAGCATATTTAAATGCTGAATAATGTCTTTAGTTAATTATTTGCAAACAATTGTATAAACTCTGAAGATGGGATTTTTAGAAGGCTAAAGTCAATATAACTTGAGATCAGTGAGGAAAAAAGCCATTACAATATATGAAACAATGTGAATTCAAAATTCCTAAGGGCATTAATAACATTTACAATAAAATGAGATCTTAGTTTATCCCAATATTAGGATATTGGGAGTTCATTATAATTAGCTTCTTGTTGAGAAATTAATATTGTTTAGATGTTTTACTGTTCTTCATTTATGAGAGTAGAAAATTCTAAGGTGAGAAAAGTGTTCTCATGGTACACACATAATTTGTACTATATCTGAATAAACATAAAATTTTTAAAGCAGAATTTTACATGATTTGCCACTAAGTGAAACAGAATCCTACCTGCAAGAATCAGTAGGGTTCCACCTGGCCTAGATAGCCACTTATGACTATACCAACCTCCAGTCATTACTTATTTTGAACATTTATGAAGATAACTGGATGGACTCACTGAGAATGGTTAAATAAACACCACAGAATAATAGCTATACATGCTTATTGTCATGGTCAGCAACTATTTTAGGGTGGCACACAGGGGTAAAGACTTGGGTGCAAGTAGGCTGTGAGCTGAGTGCCAGTGACAGGACCTCTGAGTGCTAGTGAGCCTTTTGTGATTGGTCTTATTCTTCTTGGAATATTTGCTTTCCTCTACCCGTTTCTGTTTCTGCCAGTTAAGCCCGTTTATCAATTTTCTTTTAACTCCTTAGGACACTGCACTTACTATATACTTGCCATTCATAATTATACATATAAATCTATGAGTAATAGGATGTATGCTTTTTTATATATGCTTCTAGTTCTCCCATTCTGGAAACTGATTATAGCTCTCATCTATGAGTTAATAAGGAACTGTATATTTTCAGTTAGAATTTGTCTTGTGACTGTCTTTCTCACCTGTATGCAACAGACCATGTTTCTTTCATAAGGACATTAATTATGAAAACTTTTCCCAATATGCCTTTGTTCAAATTACACATAAAATAAAATGTTGATGACATTCCTAAGCAGGCTTTATTTTTATACTAATTTCCTGCCACTCATGCAAATGACAGTTTCATTTTGTCATTATTCCACTGTATATCTCTTTGTTCCATATAAAATTGTTCTTTTCTATTTTTTTCTATGTTTTGGTACCATATTCTTCATCAGCAAGATAATAGTGTATGGAGAATGGAGAGACAGGATCATAATATCAGGATCATAATATCAGGTGAAGTCTGAAGGAACAATTATGATAGAAGCCAAAGTGGTAATAGATTTCTTTTTACAACAGAAAGAAAACGAAACATAAAAAACATGGTTATCAGAACTCATTTGCTAGATATTATTACTAACTGCCCTACCTGTTTGGGGTATTTTACAATTATATTATTTGAGTATCATGCCCTCTATTGGATATGGTAATAAGACTTCTTTCCAAAGCTTTTCTAGTTAAAATTCAAAGCATGATGTATCAATTATAACAAATGTACCACACTAACGTAAGATGTTAGTAATAGGGAAAACAGGCAGGGGTAGGGGTGAAAGGTATATGGGAGGTCTCTGCATTTTCCATTCATTTTTCTGTAAACTTAAAACTGGTTCAAGAAATAAAGTCTATTAACTGAAAAAATTAAAAAAGAAGAAAAAATTATCAAAGAAAAATATATTTTGTACATCTGACCTGAAAAATCTTTAGCATATTTAAGATTTTTAAGAACGTGACAAACATATTCATATTAATTAATAATCACTTTGTAACTCATAGATATTGTTTTCTATTTTTTGGATATGTAAAGGGTATTTTTGGATTTGTAAAGAGTATTTGTAAAGGGTAATTTATTTATTCAAAATTACCCAAAACTTTGATGTTGCCATTTCTCATTTGAGGGTTCACAAATGTAGAGAAAATGATTTCATATTATATAATACAATAGCATTGAGTATCTCTAAAAGTGGAGACTATAATCGTATTGTCTGGAGTAATATTCAGTCCAAATACGAATAGATTTATTGAGCGTAACAAGTAAGAGCTTTCTTTGATTGCAGGTCAGGAGGTTAGGATGGATACATTTCTTCTCCTGAAAACAAATATCTCCAGTTTTTGTTGCTAATCTTCCTTATCTAATGGGTGTCAAAGTAGCAGAGAGTTTCCTTAAAGTTGTATAGAAAATATTTAGTTCATTTTATAAATGGAAATGGAGAAAATGATGGTTCCTGAAGTAATTTGTAAAATATCTATATATTATGTTAAACAAGTCCTCCTCAGTAATTGCTTTCTAAAAATGTAATCTAAAATTTCACTTCATTTTACAGCTGCCATTCTAATCAGTCAAAATATTGAAATATCAGCATCTTGGTTATAAGAAAACAGGAAATATCAGGTTAATCAACATATTTATTGAAAAAAGAGATATTTTAGTGGAATTTCTATGTCAACATATTTTGACATGTTTTTAGAAGGGGCTCACCCAGTATACCTTTGATGGCAATAAGAAAATAATCAATTATTCATATCACTTAAAAATCACACTTTATAATAAATATTCCTTTGCCATGTGATGGTCTGAAAACTTATTTCAATATATAGAGATTTATATTTTCTATCTTTCTCTCCTACTTCCTTTGAAGACATTTACTGACTACCCCTACTGGCTTTCTGCAGACAGTGTTTCCATCTGTGAAAACTCAAAGAATTTGGCTTTCACTTTTTTTTTTCACCACATGCATTTTCAAACTAGATGAAAAGCTGTTGGATGTCATTGTCCTCACAGATATTCAAATGCCACCAAATTGTGTTTCTTTTTTTTTTTCTCTTAAGTACAAGTAATGGTAGCATCCCAGCTGTCTAGATGCCTGAAAAAAAAAATCATTTGCTGGAAAGAATTCACTTGGCTTTAACTCACCTCAGGAATAATGGAATTGAAAACAAGTACATGGAAAGGGATCAAGAATACAGTGGCAAAAGAAATCAGAATCAATTAATGGTTCAATGTGTAATACTTTACTCTATTTAATTAAATTGATATTTATTGATCTTCTATTACACACTGTGCTTGGCACAGTGGGTGATATAAAGATCAATTGGACATAACTGCTGCGTTGGCAGAACTCACAGTCTACTGAAAAAGATAACAAAAGGATAAAAAGCAAGTTCAATTCTAATAAGCTCTGTAATTGAGCTCTAGACAAAGTAAATTAAACAGAGTTGGAGGAGATTGCATGCGATTGAATAACATGGGAATAATTTACCAAGGACATGACTTCTAAGACAGATCATGGAAGATTAATGGAAAGTTTAAGTGTAGGGAAAGACAATTGAAGTATAAGGAACACGATGAGTAAAAATATGTAGACAGAAAATGGTCAATTTTAAGGAAACAAGTTCATTATAGCTAAAAGTTATTGCTAATATGTATTTCCTTTCCACCACAGCAGTTCACTGAAAATACTTCTGGCTGTCCATCTGTGAGAACTTAATCAGTATGCCTTGGGAATTATAATCACATTGCTATTAAATTATTTACCCATTTACTCAACAAACATTTATTGAGTGTTAGGGCCTACTCAATAGCCGCCCACACACAGTAAATATGAACAAAATTGAATTTAATGTGTTCCCTTTAGGGCAGGTATAAAAGGGCAATAACATACATAGCTGAATGAATATTTGATATTTTCTCCTACTTCTAAGTTAATATGATAGCCTACCACAATTGTATTGATGCTGGCAGAAGACGCTAAAATATAGGGTCAGAAATTAAAAAAATAAAATAGCTCATTACTCATAACACTAGCAGTAGCCAGAATGCACTGATTGCCCTAGCCTCAATCTTCTCAGAGTGACACAAAGTGAACCATGTCAAAGACGTACATGCAGTGGGTTGCATTAGAGGAGAAGAAACCTGAGCTTTGGGAACATGAATCTTTTATAATAAGCAGTAAGCATGCCTGACCTTTGCTCCAATGGAAAAAAACCAAAAACCATAAACGAAATAAAAAGCTCTCTTGGTCTAACAGGACTGTTTGATATACCAAACAAGTTCTTGAAAAAATAATCCAGAACAAAGACAGTCAGTGGCTCTATTTACAAGATGCACAGAAATGTGAGGAACCTATTAAGAATTGTCTCCCTACAAAATTTAAATAAAGAACAGGGAATTACTCTTCCTGACTAGCAAACAGAAGGGAGCAATGTGTCATGGACACATTAACACTTGGGCTGGCTCTTGACAGTTACAGTATATAAATATAAAATGCTAAAGAAGTGTATTATAGGCAGAAAGACAAGAAAAGAAAGTTACATGTGTGCAGATAGAAATATATGCAGAATTTTGGGTGAAAGATGGCATTTGGCTGAAGGAAGGTTGGATATAGAGGAAAATGCAGGGGAATTGATTTAGAAAAGTGGTGTTAGTGCCACATTATGGAGGAAATTGAATAATCTGCCAAATACATTTTTTTTCTGTAGAAATAGTAGAGAGCCATCAAAGGTCTTTAAGTTAGGTAAAAACGAAATAATTTCATCTGGTTTACAAAGGAAATGTTAATAGTTTTATGAGGGAGATCAAGAGAATTGGGATTAGAGGCAGAAAAGGGAGCAGGTAAGAAGATGATTGCAATGCATGATAAAGGTCTGTGTATAAATTGAGAATGTTGCAGAGATAACTTGCAATTTTAATTAATGGGACTTTTTGACTAATTAGATTAATGGCATGAGGATAAAATTCAAGAAGGTATTAGTTTCTTAGCTGAGTGATTCTTACATATTGGTTTGTCACAATAATGAGTATTATTAATGTCTTTCTTGAGCTTCAATTTCCACAAATTGTCTACAGCTTTCAAAAATGATCTTCAATATTCAAATGTGATAGACAGTATTGCCAGATTTTAAAATTTATCTTGGCTCATGGTCTCTTAAAAACATGATTTATTAATTTTAATTATGGAAGTTTTTATTTTTTTTAATTTTTTATTTTCATAGGCTATTAGGAAACAGGTGGTGTTTCATTACATGAGTAAGTTTTTTAGTTGTGATTTGTGAGATTTTGGTGCACCCATCACCCGAGCAGTATACACTGCACTCAATTTCAAGTCTTTTATCCCCCATCCCCTTCCCACCCTTTCCCCCTGAGTCCCCAAAGTCCATTGTGCCATTCTTAATGCCTTTGTATCCTCATAGCTTAGCTCCTACTTATAAGAGAGAAAATATGATGTTTCGCTTTCCATTTCTGAGTTACTTCACATAGAATAATAGTCTCCAATCTCATCCAGGTTGCTGCAAATTATGGAAGTTTTTAAATGAAGCAACATACATACTGATGATAGTTGAGATGGAGAGAAAAGGTCGTATTTTCTAAAAATCTTGAAGAGAGAGCTGAGAAGATAAGTAAGTATGAGGATATGAAGGAGAAAAAGAGAAAGAATGATTTCAGTTTTTGGCCTGACTATAAAATGATGAAGTTGCCATCAGTCGAAAGACTTTAGGTGAAGCCAGTAAGATAGAGTAGGGAAATTATGACTTCACTTTTATGCTGCCAAATTTGATATTTTTATTGGAACTCCAGGTGGATATATCCAGTAGGCAGCTGTACTTATGATCTGAAGTGGGAAGGGAGACTTGAACTGGAGATATAAATGTGAGTGTCATTAGGATACAGCCATGAACATGGATGAGATCACCCAAGAGGTCACTGTTGGTAGCAAAGACAACCACAGAGACAGCCCCAAAGGAGCAATATTAAGAGGTCAGCAAAAGGAGAAAACGGATAGGGCCTTGCCCATGAGATATAAGACTAAGAAAGAATGCCTGATCACTTGAAAGCTAGGTAGGAATATTGTATTCAGGAAGCAATAATCAACACTGTGGTAATGTTGTTTATTCATTATGTAAGACAAGGACTGATAATTAACTATTGGAGTTAGTATTGTGACCTTGATAAGAACAGGCACCATGGAGTCACAGAACAATAGCCTGTTTGGTGCAGGTAGATGAGAGATTAAGGGGAGGGGAGATGGAAATGATAAATATAAATAACTAAATAACTGTTTCAAGGGAAGCCAAAAAGTAAATAGGAGCATTTCTGATGGGAATAATTCATTAGAGAGTGAATAAGCTGATACTGGACATAATAGGATTAGTCCCTATGTATTCAAACAGATAGGAAAGTTGAGGCTGTGAAGTCTAGGGATAGAAAAAATGAATAGTTTACTAAAATTACCTCTTTACTCTTGCTGACAAGGTAAAAGGTCTGAGGTAGGCACAGTCTTAGTCTCGGCACACTAATCACTCCTTTTCCCCTTTGTCCTAGAATTCATTTTACTTTGAGTGTTGGGTGTTCTGTCTCAAACATTGCTAAACCCATAGTTTTTTAAATAAATGAATGAACAATCATACTAAACAATATAAGAAATCAATGAAATAAAAAGGGCAAGTTGCTTTAAAAATATGAAACCACTCAATCTTCTCCTGCTTTTCTTCTTTACTGATTCTTTTTTTTCTTTCATAACAATAATTTTCCAAAGTATCAGGAAAGCAAAATACTAAGGATGTTAGATATATATAGTTAGATACAAGGAAGCTGCTTACTTTTATATGTGCATTCTTTTTGATTTCTTATATCTCTAATTAGCCCAAATTTTCAAATTTTCTCTCCAAAAGAAAAATCTGAATTATTTTATTAAACATAGGATTAGCAAATTTTCTGAAAACTATGAGTCTTAAATAAGTCTACAGGACAAAATTAAGAATAAAGTTTTAAGGGACTCTATTGTTTCAGCTCCTGTAAGAAACGATAGTTATGTTTATTAATTTGCTGTTTTTATAACTGGGTAATGATGTTTGTTTATTCATTAATTTGGTTTGTTTTCTAAGTGGAGAGACTTGCAAGGTTTGCGTTGTGTATTTATTTGAAAAGCTGCCACTAAGCATTGTTATGTGGTTATTAGCAACTTGAAGACACAACTGCTTTAAGCAGCTATGCGATTTCATGTTGAGAACGTCACTGAAGAAGTGACATAAAGATCCTGTATGTCCACTGGGAAATTTAATTTAAAACAATTTCTCCCATATTATAGGAATTGAATAGATTTGTTTTAGCTCACATTAAAATATACTTACTATAAATGAGGAAAATTTTTTCCTTTTCATTTTCTTGTTCCTTCGGATTATATTCAACTGGTAAATAAAGACTAAAATCTTAACTAAAATGATTTAAATACTTTTTTTCTCATTATGACTTATTGCAGACACATTTTAAGAAAATAATAAGAACCCAGACAACTGAGGCCAGAGATAAATCTTATAATTGCTATCTCCTATGATGAGAAGCAAGACCTTTCAGTAAAGGTGTTCAGGCCTGTGGATTTAAGTATTTCATGAGACGGTGGGGAAAGGATGTGGGTGTCTATTGCAAATAGGAAACCTGGACATTGCACCACTGAATACCTCCCTTCTAGTTTCCATATTCAGAAGGACTTTTGTCAGTTTTAGTCACTGGGATTTCACTTCCCAAGTCTAATTTACTGCAAATGAACAAATCATCGATTGTAGCTTGGTAGTATTTCATCATATTTCCAATTTTCGTCTATAATAACTGATAGTTCTGTGATCTTTGGACAAGAGAGATGTCACAAGTTCAGTGATGAAATATGTTGGGTTTGCCCATTTTCCGTTTCTCTCTCTTAACAATGAAGTTATAGGAGAAATGATTCTAGTATAATTTTCAAATCATGCACTCTACTAATTATGCCATTAAGATTAGATACTTAGGTCAATTATACTATTTTTGTCTAGTTTCAAATTTGTTAAAAGGTGTAAACATAGAATTGAATAACATAGTTTTATGAGGAATTCTACAATAAGAATGCAAAAAGTATTTCTGGAGTGTTTACTGCTAAGTGTGCGGTACTCTGCTTTGGACAAAGATGAATTGAGTCAAGTGGTGTTGTTTGTTATATAATAGAACAATCGTGCTGAAATAGAGATACAAGGCTGTGAGGATTTGACATGTTTAACTATAATGCTGTGTCTATTTTTACATATCTATATGCCTGTGCATATGAATCTCTGTAGAAATTTAAGATTTGCTTATAATCTTGTTTGATATAAGTCTATGTCTGAGGATGAATCTACTCTCAAAGTGTGAATGCAAACAAGTTTCTAATCTTACCCAGAACATCTTAATATTTGACGGGGAAAATTCCCTCCTGTGAACAACTGGCAATTCCTGAAAGCTCCTGCCTAGGCTCATCTGCTTCCTATATGTTTCCTTTGCCTTCAATTTCAAAGTTGTCAGGGGGAAAAAACACCTCTTCAGAAAGATGTCATATGCCAAGATGTGGTCCATACAGATCAAAACTCTAGGTTCATGTATTTTTGAAGACTAATTATTACTAGATTGAAAACATGAAGTCGCTTGTACCAACTCTATTGTTTCTTTTGACTAACTTGTACTCTCTCAAAATACTTTTCAGAGATAGATACGTCTGATAATTCTGAATTTAACTTGATGTAACTCTGTGATGTACTCTAATCTCATAATCTGGTTTTTTCTTTTTGGATCTCTGTGTCATTTCCTTAACTGAGAAACTTCAGGGCTGTCATCTCATATACAGTTCTCACATTTTAAATAATCTTTCCAAATAATCTCAACAAAGGAACACTACATTGGTGGCAGATTATAAAATGTTGAAGAAGACTTAAAGTCAAGTGCAACTTATTTCAGGGTTCATGAGTTTTAAAATTATATTACTGAAATTAATTTTTATATCTTTCTCAATATATTTTAAAATTCTGTATTAATTATGAGAAAAATACTTTTTTGTGTGTTTCTAAAACACAATAATCAAAACGCAGGGTAATAAATGAACTATCAACTTAAATCATTGGCAAGTAAATTGACAATATGCACCTTCTAAAATTGAAAGTCAAATTGCTGTAATATTAAATCCGTATTTAAACACTGATTTCCAGCTTTCTACTTAAGTACTTTTACTGCTACACCTTAACATTTAGAAAACAGAACTAGCATATCAAATAATCAATACATTTTATAATCAATTTGATACTATATATGAGAACCTTTATCTTTATATTTTATTTCTTCAATTTATTTGGGGCATGTGTGTATGTGTGTGTGTACGTTTTTGAACGTGTATGTGCATATATTTGTGTATGTCAGATTATGAGAAGCAAGTAAAGAGAGTGGGCAGATGAAAATGGCATGAGTTTTAAAATAATGACACTGAAGAAGGAAAGGAGAAAGGAATGGGAAAAGAGATACTCTGCCTTTTGTTGATTGTGAGATATATATTGAAAGTGAAATCTGCGTGGAATGTTCAAAATACATTCATATATCAGTATATATATCTATATATCCATATTCTTTTGAAAATACAAGGTTTGGGCTGATGTTTTTCTGAGAGAGATAAAAAAATTCCACCCATGAACAACAGGTTTGGCCTGTACCTGTGGAGTTCGATCCTGTACATAATTGTCCTTTCCTGACTGGTACCCTAAATATTTCAGATTGGCTTAGCCAGTCTCCACTGTCACAAAACCAGTTTGTTAATATAACTCAAGCTCTCTCTCTTTTCTCTGAGATTACTTTCTTGTGTGCACTGTGTTGCCTAGCAAAGGCATGTGCAACCATGTATCCAATATTCTATATGTGTTATACTTATACTGGAAAGTTTGAAAACAACAAATAATTAATATGTACTAAGCAATTTAAAATTTACTTAAATCTTAATTGTACATAACAACTTATTACCAAAGTATACTTTCTGGAGCTAAATAAAAACATTAATATAAGTGAATAATATGTCATGTGAATGAATATGGGATAATTTTGGTATGTAGAGGCATAAATTCATTGGGATATAACAAACTTTAAAAAAATTTTAAACAAAAAAAATTGAATACTTCTTCTTGATTCTATTTATCGTGCTTCTCTGCTTGAACTCTATTTGATACAGTGAAGCTATTATCCACTCTTCAGAACTGAGACAACTCTATAAATGCCTCACCTATCACTTACTAGAATTGGGGGATCCATCTACCCAACGTTCGGAGTGGCATTGCAACTTAAATGCATTTATACAAATTTTGCCTTTTTGTGACTTTTTGAAAACTGTCAAAAATAATCTTGACAACTAAGTAAATTTAAATATATATTTTATTCTTTGAAAGAAAAAGCTAACTAAATAAGGATTTATGATATCACTCATCTTCAACTGAAATTGATAAATAAGCTTACTAGACCTGTAATATACAAAAAGCAATAAAATAAACCATGATTTAAATGAGAAATACAGGGATAACACATATAAACATTAATTCTAAATAGATGCCGATATCATGCTTAAAGTATAGACAAATTTGAATATACCAATTTAGATGAATAGTTGTTTCTTATGAAATTAATGGAATGAATCTATTTTCAAGTCCTTATGGTATACAGTACAGAAAAAGAAACATGGAATCCTTTTCTTTTTCTTTTCAAAAAATTACCAGAATTTTAATTCCTGTTTTGTTTTGTTATTGTTTTCTTGAAAATTTAAGAGCACTTGCATTTTCCCTTGATTTTTTTTAACTAAAATGTTATCTGACTATAAATTTTTCTGAAGCTTAATATTTTTTTTCTAGGAAGGTACCTAAGTATCTTAACTTTATAACTTCAGCAATTGTTAGTATTTCTTAAGACAAATTATCCAATTTTCAATAAGGATGGAACCATTATTTCCCTTTCTTGTAGAACATTTTGGTTTTTAAGAAAGTACTCAATGATGGTTAATTTTTAAATTATCTCATTCTGGTTATAACTCCAGCATAAGTCAATTTTGCTCACTAAAGAAAAATCATTATATACTGCAGTTCTACAGGGGCAGAGACTATATCCATTTTCTATACCTTCTGTATTTCTAGATCTTCTATATTTTATACATAACATGTTAAATGCAATTTAGTTGCTCTAAGTCTTCTTTGAATGATTATATCAATTCCTTTGAATAAGATAATCACCCTTCCGCCTGAAGAATTATCAGCAGGTTTAGAATTATTTAGAATTCATTTAAAGTCTCCTAAAGCAGTTGTCCCCAACCTTTTTGGTACCACAGATTGGTTTTGTGGAAGACAATTTTTCCACAGGATGTTGGGGGTAGTGAGGTGAGGCGGGGTGGGGAATATTCAAGATGAGACTGTTTCACCGCAGATCTTCAGGCATCAGTTAGATTCTCAAAAGGGGCACACAACCTAGATCCCTGACATGCACAGATCACAATACAGTTTGTGCTCCTATGAGAATCTAATTCTGCAGCTGAGTTGATAGGAGGTGGAGCTCAGGCAATAATGCTCACTTCCTTGTGGCTAACCTCCTGCTGTGTGGCCTGGTTACTAACAGGCCACGGACTTGTAAAGGTCCACAGCCCAAAGGTTAGGGACCCGTGTCTTATAGCAAAGGCATGTGCAAACCTGCATCCACTTCATCTCACTTCCCCTTACTTTAGCTTCTCTTCCCATCAATGAGGGCTATACATTTGATTAGAAAAAAAAAAAAGATAGTTGCAGGAAAAGAAAATTTATATATGTGTATACATATATATATATAGTTTATATATTTACATATAATATACATATATAATACAGGTATATATGTATATTATGTATACATATAATATACATATATAATACGTATATATACATATGTATATACATATGTAAATATATAAACAGTTTATATATATACATATATACAGTTTTTATATATATACATATATATATAAACTGTTTAAAAATAATGGTAGGAAGAGAAGGTAATCATGCTAGAAAAATATTCTAGCCTTAGGAAGAGATCGCTCTGATTATCCTTATGCAGTCATATCACTTCAGCTACTTCTTTAGAAAGCAATTAGGCCCATATATTTTTAAATTATATTTTAAATTAGAATTTGAAGTTAAAAATATACCTGAAGTGATCTTCAGCAGATTCCTTCTTTGATTTTTCTTTATTTCAGAAAAGTATGAATCATATTAATTCATTATCTACAATTGCATTCCTTACAAGTTCACACCTAATAGCCAGCCCCTACATAAATCAGTTTTGTGGAATCTTCATAAGAGATAATAATGAGGGCTGCAGAAGACATTCAGAGAAGATGTTGGGAGAAATTGTTGCACAGAGTGTGTGAGGTTGATACCAAGTCTAGGACAGGATAACTAAGCTATTGAAAAGATCAATAAACATGGGGAACAAAAGGTATTTTATATTTCCATCGAATGACAACTTATTTTTCTAGGCTTATCTCTGACCTCTCCCACATATCTGATTCATTAGCATTTTTCCTGATCATTTTCTGATTATAACATGTCCTTTTATAACCTTGGCGTATATTATCCCCGCCATCTAGAATGTTTTGTCTTAACCCTCACTTTTCCTTCTTTAGCTAGAAACCTCCTATTCTTTTATCAAAAACCTAACTAAAATTATATCAAATACTCTCTCAGACCACAGTGGAATAAAATTGGAAATAAACTCCAAAAGGAACCCTCAAAACCATGTAAATACATGGAAATTAAATAACCTGCTACTGAATGATCATTGGCTCAACAACGAAATCAAGATGGAAATTTAAAAATTCTTTGAACTGAATGATAATAAGGGCACAATATATCAAAACCTCTGGGATAGAGCAAAAGCAGTGCTAAGCATTAAATGCCTCCATCAAAAATTCTGAAAGAGCACAAATAGACAATCTAAGCTCACACCTCACAGAACTGGAGAAACAAGAACACTCCCAAACCACACCCAGCAGAAGAAAAGAAATAATGAAGATCAGAGCAGAACTAAATGAAATTGAAACACACAAACAAACAAAAAAGACAAAAGATAAATGAAATAAAAAGCTGGTTCTTTGAAAAGATAAATAAAATTGACAGACCATTAGCCAGATTAACCAAGAAAAGAGGAGAGAAGTTTCAAATAAACTCATTTAGAAACGGAATGGGGGATATTACAGCTGATACCACAGAAACACAAAAGATTATTCAAGGCTATGATGAACACCTTTACACACATAAACTAGAAAAATTAAGAGGAGATGGATAGATTCCTGGAAATATACCTAAATTAAACTAGGAAGGTAAAGAATCTCTAAACAAACCAAGAACAAGCAGCGAGATTGAAATGGTAATAAAAAATTGCCAACAACAAAAAAAAGTCCAGGGCCAGACCAAATCACAGCTGAATTCTATCAGACATTCACAGAATTGGTACCAATCTGATCGACACTATTTCAAAAGATAGAGAAAGAGGGAATCCTCCCTAAATCATTCTATGAAGCCAGTATCACCCTGATACCAAAACCAGGGAAGTACATAAAAAAAAAAAAACAAAAACTACAGATCAATACCCCTGATGAAAGCAGATGCAGAAATCCTCAACAAAATACTAGCAAATCAAATCCAACAGCATATCAAAAAGATGATCTAGTGGATCCACCATGATCAACTGGATGCAGGGATGGTTTAACATATGTAAGTCAATAAAGTGTGACACACCACATAAACAGAATTAAAAACAAAAATCACCATGATTATCTCAATAGATGCAGAAAAAGCATTTGACAAAATCCAGCATCTCTTTATGACTAAAACCCTCAGCAAAATCGGCACAGAAGGGACATACCTTAAGGTAACAAAAGCCACCTACAACAAACCGATAGCCAACATTATACTGAACAGGGAAATGTTGAAAGCATTCCCCCCTGAAAACTGGAAAAGACAAGGATGCCCACTTTCACTACTTCTATTCAACATAGTCCTGGAAGTCCTAGCCAGAGCAATCAGACAAGAGATAGAACTAAAACTCATCCAAATAGGTAAAGAGGAAGTCAGACACTCGTTGTTTGCTGATGAGATGATTGTATACCCAGAAAATCTTAAAGACTCATCCAAAAAGCTCCTAGAACTGGTAAATGAATTCAGCAAAGTTTCAGGATACAAAATTAACATACACAAATCAGCAGCTCTGTTATACACCAACAGCGACCAAGCTGAGAATCAAATCAAGAACTCAACCCCTTTCATAATAGCAGTAAGAAAAATAAATGAATACTTTGGAATATACTTAACCAAGGATATGAAAGACTTCTACAAGGAAAATTACAAAACACTGCTGAAAGAAGTCATAGAATGCACAAATGGAAACACATCTTATGCTCATGGATGGGTAGAATAAAAGTTGTGAAAATAACCATACTGCCAAAAACAATCTACAAGTACAATGCAATTGCCATCAAAATAACACCATCATTCTTTTCAGAAATAGAAAAAACAATCCTAAAATTCATATGAAACCAAAAAAAGAGCTCACATAGCCAAAGCAAGACTAAGCAAAAAGAACAAATCTGGAGGTATTAAATTATCCGACTTCAAATTGTACTAAAAGGTCATAGTCACCAAAACAGCATGGTACTGGTATAAAAGTAGGCACACAGACAAATGGAACAGAATAGAGAACCCAGAAATAAAGCCAAGTACTTACAGCCAACTGATCTTTGACAAACCAAACAAAAACATAAAGTGGGGAAAGGAAACCCTATTGAAAAATGGCGCTGAAGTAATTGACAAGTCACATGTAAAAGAATGAAATTGGATCCTCATCTCTCACCTTATACAAAAATCAACTGAAGATGGATTAAAAACTTAAATCTAAGACCTGAAACCATGAAGATTCTAGAAGATAACATTGGAAAACCCCTTTTAGACACTGGCTTAGGCAAAGACTTCATGACCAAGAACCCAAAAGCAAATGCAACAAAAACAAAGATAAATAGATGGGACTGAATTAAACTTAAAAGCTTCTGCATAGCAAAAGAAATAATCAGCAGAGTAAACAGAAAACCCACAGAGTCAGAGAAAATCTTCACAATCTATACATTCAACAAAGGAGTCTTACCCAGAATCTACAACGAACTCAAACAAATTATCCAGACAAAAAACAAATGATCGCATCACAAAGTGGGCTAAGGACATGAATAGACAATTCTCAAAACAAGACATACAGATGGCCAAAAAACTTGAAAAAATGCTAAACGTCACTAATTATAAGGGAAATGCAAGTCAAAACCACAATGTGATACCTCACTCCTGCAAGAATGGCCATAATCAAAAAATAAAAAAATAATAGATGTTGGGGTGGATGTGGTGAAAAGGGAACACTTTTACACTGTTGGTGGGAATGTAAACTAGTACAACCACTATGAAAAACAGTGTGGAGATTCCTTAAAGAACTAAAAGTAGACCTACCATTTGATCCAGCAGTCCCACTATTAGCTATCTATCCAGAGTAAAAGAAGTCATTATATGAAAAAGATACTTGCAGCACAATTTGCAATTGCAAAAATATGGAACAAGCCCAAATGCCCATCAATCAGTGAGAGATAAAGAAAATGTGGTGTTTCCCAATGTGGATGGGCATTATCCAATTCCTTGAGGACCTGAATAGAAAAAGCAGAGTAAGTTAACTTCATTCCCTGACTGAGTGCTTGGACTAGAACATCAATTTTTTTGCTCTTAGTGCTCCTGGATGTCAGACCTTCAAACTACACCACACCTCTCCTGAATGTCCAGCATGCAGACAGTAGATCATGGACTGTATTCTCAGTTTACGTAACTGTGTGAGCCAATTTCTTATAATAAATTTCTCAGTTTGCATAATCATGTGAGCCAATTTCTTACAATAAATATTATTTTCATCGTGTGTGTGTCTGTGTGTGTGTGTGTCTGTGTGTATCCTATTGCTTTTGTTTTGCTGAATATCACTAAGTAATGCAATCAGGACATTCCTTCCTGTGAGTTGTAGAAACTGGAGTTTTATGCCATGACCAGACAATTTAGAATCATGCTGCAAGGGATAATGCATTTTCTTTAATTGTAATTATTCAAAGCAGTCAGTAAACATGAGTGAACAAATAACATAAATGAATATCTTATAGATGAAAGGATTAATGTTTCTGATACTTCCACATAATTGTCTTAAAGAAAAACACCTCAGAGCTAAGGGTCTGATTAGACATAGGTATACATATCTCTTGGCTAACAAAATATCTCTAATACGTTTTTTATTATCTGTGCTAGATGCTTTTTAAAAATTCTTTTTTTTTTCAGTGTTTCAGAATCCAGGGACTAGTCAGAAGCACTCTTGATTAGACTCCTAGTCTGTCTCCCTTCTTCATCCACTCATGTATAATTCTTTAAAAATTACACAAAATATTATAGGCTATAATATGATTAGCCTTGTATCCCCACCCAAATCTCATCTTGAACGGAAATCCCCACAATCCCCATGTGTCAAGAAAGAGACCAGGTGGAGGTAATTGAATCATGGTGTTGTTTCCCCTCAGCTGTTCTCCTGATAGTGAGTGAGTTCTCACGAGATCTCATGGTTTTATAAAGGGCTTTTCCCCTCTTGACTCGGCACTTCTTTTTCCTGCTGCCTTGTGAAGAAGGTGCTTCGCTTCCCTTTCACCTTCTGCCATGATTGTATGTTTCCTGAGGCCTCCCAGCCATGCTGAACTGTGAGTCAATTAAACTTCTTTCCTTTATAAATTACCCAGTCTTGGGTATTTCTTCATGGCACTGAGAGAATGGACTAATACAGTCTACTATCTATATTTAAACAGATAATAAAAATGTCTTTCTAATAACAGGAAATGATAATGAAGTTGGTTATACATCTTTACCCCCATTTTTCTCTCCAGTTGCAGAAAACCTATGTCTGATTTTAGGAAGTGTTTTTTGTGCTACATATGTGCTACATAGTGTGTCCTGTGCTACATATGTGCTAAAGAACTTCTATTCTTAGGATCTTTGGTATCATGGAAAATCTTTTTATTAGAAATGATAGTGAAGTAGGAGATCAGCAGGACTTGTTTTCTGATGACAACCCTGCTGATCAAAACAGGATGCAGCAGAGAAACCAGACAAAACCATCAGATACAGACAAAAGCCACCTCTAGTTGCCTTCATTACTCATTAGCATAAGGCCCTCCCACCAGTGCCATGACAGTTTGTAAATGTCATGGTATTGACCCAGAAGTTATCTTATTTGGTTCTGGGAACTCCTCCTGCCTTTTTATAGAAAACTCTGAAAAATGTGCCCCCATAATTAGCATATAATTAAGAGTGGGTATAAATATAGCTAGCCAACAATCTACAGGGACTGTTGCTCTGCACTGTTACTGTTGCTGTATGCTGCCATGGCTGCTCTGGGCTGCTCTGCCTGTGGAGCAGCCGCTTTACTGTACACTGCTACTCTGTGCTTCTCTGCTTATGAGTTGGCCCTGCTTTGTCTGTGGAGCAGCCAGTTTGCTGTGTCCTGTTAATCTCTGTTAATCTAATAAACTTCCTTTCTTCCATGGCCAGCTCGCTCTTGAATTTTTTTCTGATCAAAGCCAAAACCTTCCCAGGCTGAGCCCCAATTGTGGGGCTCATTTGTATCAATGGGATAAAAGTAACTAGCTCTTTGGAAAAACGGTATATATTATATCCTGAATAATATGTTTTCTCCCACTCAGAATTTACAGTATGTATTAGTCTGTTTTCACACTGCTATAAAGAACTGCCCAAAACTGGGTAATTTACAAGGAAAAGAAATTTAATTGGCTCAGAGCTTCACATGGCTGAGGAAGCCTCAGGAAACTTACAATCATGGCGGAAGGGGAAGGGGAAGCAAGGAGCTTCTTCACATGGTGGCAGAAAAGAGGGAGCTAGCAAGAGCAGGGGAAGTTGTCTTATAAAACCCTCAGATCTCATGAGAACTCACTCACTATAACGAGAACAGCATGGGGAAACTGCTCCCATGAATGAATCATCTCCCACCAGGTCCCTCCCTGGATATGTGGGAGTTTCCAGGATTACAATTCAAGATGAGATTTGGGTGGGGAGACAGCCAAACCATATTATAGTAATTAAAAAAAAAGCTATTAAATATTTCCAAAACCTGAATACAGGTAATGAAGACCTGTATATTCAACAATATATTGTGTTATATAAAAGTTAACCTTTATTTGTAATACAATATCACATTCATTAACCTACTTTTAAGTATCTTGTGCATTCAAATATGCTGTACAAAGTCTTTCTTTAAAAAGCAAGATAATACTGGTGAATCAGTTTTCCTTTAAGATCTGAGATTTTATTAGTATAAAGGAAAATAAAGTATCATAAAATATCTAATCTAAAAATACTACATACACTACTAATTGTGCGGCAGGCAATGTTCAAACTCCTTTTCATACAGCTGCCATCAGGGAGCTATAGTATGATGCTCCTTTTATATCTGAGAAAATGTAGCCTCAACAAAGTTAAATGACTTGACCAACATCACACAACAGGTAAGTGACAAACCTGGATTCGAAATCCAGGGAATATTTAGGCCCAGAATCTTAACTGCTACGTTATACTGAGTAACAGAGTGAGAAGAAAAAACATAAAGTGCAAACATTAAATGCATCAGAATATGTCTCACAATTTTAGTTTTCAAACATTTATAAAAACAAAGCAAAAAAAAAAAACCACTATATTTCCAAACAAACAAAAAAGCAGCTTTCTTATTTTGCTATATACAATTACTTGTTGTAATTTAGATACTTCTACAATTTCAATGTAAGCTAACTGGAAATTCAAGGAGTATTTTCATAGGCACTAAAACAAGGTTTAACTAATGAGGAAATTCCCAGTGTACTCAATAGTTTCTAGAAATCATGTGGAATTAGCATGTGAAAGAATGAGAGAACAGTGAGCAAGAAGATAGATATAAAATGGCTGCAATACACTCCTGCAATCCTAAACTGGTTGTGATTTAAAGACTGGATTTCCTTTGCCTACTGCTTGCCTTTCTTTTGCAGATTAAGGCTGCTTTTTAAGCTCATTTTGATATGTGCACATTTTTTGGAGTTCCGTGGAAAGTTATTTTACAATATTATTTATAGCTTTATTTAAAAAACATTTTTATTTGTAAAACATTTTATTTCAAATTTATTTGAAAAACATTTGTTGGTTTTAGTAGAATGAAATGGGCATGTTTCTTTATTTATATCCATTGCTTTTTAATGCTTCCCTTAGCAACTAATATATTCACCTTATATTGTGTTCTGCAGCTTTACAGTTCAAATGCATAGCCTTCTGTTACTTTCTTGGGGGAAAAAGCTCTCAAGATACGTAATGTTTATAATTTTGACAGTGTTGTCATTATTATAGTGATAAAGTAGAAAGCAACGAAAAGATCAGAAATCTTGGAATGTAATTTCAGATGCATTTTATCATTGAAAAGGGTCATATGGATATAGCCCAAGGTATAAAACCAGTCTCCAGTATGGCAAGGCTAATATTTTCTGTTCCATATCTTCCTGGTTGTAGCAAGTTTTTTATTATACATGATGGCTCTAGAAATACTTCAGAACCATGAAAAACTCTAATAATAGTGATTTTATACATCTATATAGAATAATGTTACCAACTTTGCACCTTAAAAACAATAGTCTGTTATAAGTAATATGTAACTTAGCCAGGCTCGCGGCTCATGCCTGTCATCTCAACACTGGGAGGGGAGATTTGTTTGAGCCCAGGAGTTCAAGACCATACTGGACAACAGGGCAAAACCCTGCCTCTACAGAAAAGACAAAGCTAGCCAGGTGTGGTGGCAAGCACCTGTAGTCTCAGCTACTCAGAAGGCTGAGGTGGGAGAATTGCTTGAGCCTGGGAGATGGAAGTGTGATTTTACCACTTCTCTCCAGTCTGGTGATAGAGTGAGACTCTGTCTTAATAATAATAATATATGACTCAATCTGAGAACTAGACCAAAATTATTAAAAATATATATTATATATTTTAATTTTAGATGCACAGGTGCATGCGTTTTTGGTGACATCAGGTTGCTGACTAAAAGCGTAGCACATGTAGAGCTCTGGTTTTACTTTCAGCCTCTTACCAAGAAGCAGGACTGGTGCTTACTCCTGGAAGGCTTCACAGAACCTATCACAATGAGGCCTTCCTGCCCCCCACCCTTTTGCTCTTTCCTCATATAGTACATAGTAACCCTTATAATCCCCCAGATTCACTAGCATAATATTTTTTCTATTTATCTTCCCAAAGATTATATAAAGATAGTCTGAATATTTTTCTTTTCTCTTAACAGAGCAGTTGCTTCCTATGAGCCCAATATTTAACCTTTGGAAAAGCTGCGCTCACCAAGATGTAAAGGTTGAATTCCATTTCAATAAAAATGTGTGTGTATATGTGTGTTTTTTAAGAGCTATTCTGTGAAGCTGCACATGATCTAAAATAACTCTATAGAGCCCATTGGCATCTATCAAAAATGGGTTGTGTGTGTGTTTAATTAAATGGACACAGCTGCAGCATTATTAACATAAACATAAATGGCAAGTGCTTTTCCAACTTACGCATTTATTCACTCATTCGTTATCACATTGAACAAATATTCATGGAGGGAATCTACGGTCCTGGCATCAGGTTAGACAGCAGGGATATGGCAAAAACAAAGATTGACATAATCTCTGCCTCTAAGACTTTATATTCCCCTCTATGTATGCAGGTACAGCTAATGTATGCATCTTGTTATATGACATTTTAGGGGAGGGATATAAGAAAAAAAAAGAAGGAAGAGAAGGACTGGATATGTGTTAAAACTCTTTGTTCCACACTGAGAGCCATTGCTCTTAAATAAACCTCATGCCCTCCTTCTTCTTCTGTTCAGAAAAGTCAGTTTTTTTCACCCCAAGTCACTTTTAACATCAAAACAATATAATAACTTTTTACGCTTATATAATAAAGCTACTTCTTGAAAATATTCAACTCTTTCTTTAAAACTTTCAGAAGTATTCAGGAAATATTTCTTGAGCACATACTATGTCTCAGTTATAGGAGAAAGACATCTGTTACTTTTCTTTTTCCTTTACTTGGTTTACAGGATTTTGCTTTACTATGAGTAAGTAACAGAGGAGAGACCTGCATTGAGAGGAATGGCATAGAACGAACAAGAACAGGGAGATTGTAGATGGGCTGAGAGTTGACTCATCTCATTCACTGCTACACTCACAGTATTTTGAGGGAAGGTAGAGAAATATATATATTTTAGACAAAAAGTGTGTTAAAAGTTTTAGTTGTCCTGTAAGTTAATAACACAAAGACTATGAGTAGTTTATTAATATTTAAAAATTATAATATTTTATGTAATAATCCAGATTTCCAGTTTATCTTGAACAGTGACTCATACTAGAAGCTACAGTCACTCAGCCTGCTTCATCCACTTAAATCATCTACTTCATTTCAATCAACTTATGTTTCCCTAAATTGCCAAATCAGAAGAGCCATCTAGGTTGTTGGCTAAAAATGTAGGTTTCCAGCTCATCCTTTGGAAGCTCTAGTTCAATAAAACTGGGATGATGATATGGACTCTGTATTTTAACAAATATCCTAAGTGATACATTTGTCACCAAAGTAGTTGGGAAAGTGCTGTTGTAGGCATTTCAGTTTGCAACCCCAAAATGATTAACAACATACTATTAACCTTCCATAAAGAGTCAATGATCTAAACACAGTATTAATTTATGGGAGTTTAACAAATGTGTAAGCAGAAAGTAAAATAGAGTAATCATATATGGTTTCTTATATGTAAGAATATATGGAGATATATGCCCGTGTACCCATGATTATTAATGTACAGTGTCCTAGATCAAGGCTCCCCAACCCCCGTGCCATGGACCACTACTGGTCTGTGGTCCATTAGGAACAGGGGCTGCACAGCAGGAGGTGAGTGGTGGGCTAGTAAGTGTAGCTTCATCTGTATTTGCAGCCATTCCTCATGGCTTCCATTACTGCCTGAGCTCCGCCTCCTGTCAGACTAGTGGCGGCATTAAATTCTCACAGGAACATGACCCCTATTGTGAAATGTGCATGCGAGGGATCTAGGTTGTATTCTCCTATAAGAATCCCATTCCTGATGATCTGTCACTGTCTCCCATCACCCTCAGGTGGGACTGTCTAGTTGCAGGAAAACAAGCTCAGGGCTCTCACTGATTCTACATTATGGTGAATTGTATAATTATTTCATTATATATTACAATGTAATAATAATAGAAATAAAGTGCATAATAAATGTGATGTGCTTGAATCATCCCAAAACCATCCCGTGGCCCCTGGTTTGTGGAAAAATTGTCCTACACAAAACCGGTCCCTGGTGTCAAAAGTGTTGGGGACCACTGCCCTAGATTGATGTAACATTGTGCTTTATGCATCATTATAGCATCCCTTGAAATATAACTTGAGTATTTTTGAACTAGGTCAGTCTCAAAAATGTATATATTGCTATTAAATTGACTAGAGTGGGGTCCAAGTACTCTCTAAAACAATAACAAAAACACACAGAAAAAGCAAGGTAAAACAAAATGGAACCTCCAAATATTATTGTTTTCAGACTGAGGCACAAGAAACTATTATAAATATAAAAACTTACTTTAATACTAATATCGATAAACATTTCATCAGCTAGTGCTGGGAAATAGTTAGCAACCTGCACTCTGGGGTGTGAGGACACCCCAATTGGTAGCATGTGTCAGTTTCTATAACATAGACACTGCTGTAGCTAACTTTAAATTTCCAATCTGATGTTACTAAACAAGAAGTTGAGAATGAGAAGAAATGTTCCCAATCAGCTCTGATGCTGGTACAATCTGGTTCCAGCAGACCACATGATTTAAGGACCAACAATTATGTTAGAGGTAGAAGTTAAAAGGAAAAATAACAGCCTTGTTTTCAAGTCCTTTATTATGTCACTGCAGTTTTGTATATTATATACACAAATCTCAATACAAATAAACATAGCCCTCTTTAGTGTCAAATGAGGCAATGAGAAAAGTAATGATAAACACTATCATTCACTCAACATTTACTTTCTTCTGGGCATTCTGTTAGTAACTAATACATGTATGCATACATAAGTAATAAATAATTGAATGGTGATTATGTGAAGGACACTATTCCTAGCACTTTACCATATTATTTCTATGATGTCAGTATGTAAGAATTTCCCTTTCATTCAAAAAAGGAAAACAAAGCCCAGCAAAAAAGTCTGCAACCTGTCCAGTGTCTCACAATTGCTAAGTATGAGTATAAACCTAAACCCAGGTAACTATACTTCTGAGCTAACATTTTATAACCATTAGTCTCACTGTTCTATGGGTCTAGACAATAAGTGATATCAGAAGTCAGAAAAGGAAATAAATACTTAGGCACAATGGTCAAAGGTGTCTTCATGCTTAAGAAGCTAATGAATTCAGCATGTCTTCAGAGTTGGTAATCAGTAATTAATGATGCTAATGTCCCACCATGAAATCAGGATAAGAAATTGCTTTATAACGTCTATACCATTAAAAGCAATCTACTAAAAATTGATTAACTGTGAAAAAATAAAGATACTAACCTAGTAGACTGATATAAATTTATGTAGAAATTAATACTTAATATGTTATATAAATTCACACAATACAGTGACGATGGTCCCTTGAGAGCTTTATTATAACAAAGTTATTTTTTCCAAATAAAAGTAGGAAAAAATATTCCATTGTTTTTAAAACTGGATTCATTGCAAAAGCATTGGATTATTATTTTCAAAACAAGTGCACGTTTCTCTATTTTTTCCTGGTATTTAGTATTGCAAGGATGTCTATCAGAAGTCTGATTTTTTCCCTTTCCCTATTTTTAAAGTCTTTCTTCTTTCCTGTCTAGAGGCTGGGAACTTTCTTTATACCTTTAATTAGAAATATGTCTGTAGAGTATGGACTCTAACAAGGTGTGAATCACTTTTTATGGATTTTCCTGTGAATTCATTGGGTATATTAAATCTGCATTCTGTATTTTTCTATTGATTGTTTTCTAGTAGTTTTGGTCTCATCATAGATATAGAAAGAAAGGTGTGAATAGGATGAGAGGTAATAGGCAGCATTGTGTCCCTTCACCAAATCAAGCAGCCACGTAATAGAGTGCCTATAGCTCCCATTTGGTATTGATTCCAAGCTTGCATTTCCTGAACAGAGAGAGTTTCCTGGGGTAGAGATCTAAGTGACTTTCTGCTTACTCTGGTGCAGGTCGTCCTCTCTGTTCTGGCATAAACAGTATACTGTTTGATCTTTGTAAACTTATTCTATCAGTTTTATAAATAGATAACATTTTGTCCAGATTCTAGAATTTGTCTTAGTATTTCTATAGTTTTCTCTGTTTTATATATGCCTTTATAGTTATTTTAGTGAGAAGTTGAGAAAGTCAGTGCCAATAGTTTTAAGATAGTTATAATTTTTAAAATCTGTCCAAAGAGCTCTTAAACCATTTGGTTCTGTCGAGCTATTTCTAAGATACTAGCTTTATTCCAAGGTTATTGTCACCTACACCTGCTAGAATTATTTCTTTAGTGTGAACCTGATTTAGTCGCACGGGCCAGGAGTTGCCTAAGAATACCTGGTATTTTAAATAGCCATAACCAATGGATCTCCATCTTAGTTCACCATATCCGATAAAAAGGAAATTTGTAAACAATAGCTGTACACTAAATAAACACAATTCTAAAAGTAAGGGATTATAGTTACCTCTGTATTAAAGATGAGAATGCTGATGCTTTGGTAGTTTATATGACTTGCCTCGTAAACTATGAGACACAAAGTTGAACTTAGAACCCAATTTTGTGTGGCTTCAAGGCCTAAACTCTAATTTGCATATGAAAGTGATGAGTTTGTATCAATACTAAACACCAAAATATTAAAAAGTCACAGTAGAATGAATATTTGTATATTGTTTTGGCTATTTATAAAACAGAACTGGTCTAGAAAGTCTCATAATATTCAACTATATCAATAACAGATTAAAAATTCCTTGGGAGAAAATTTAAACTGTTTTGACAATACAGGTTATTTTTTAGTTTGGTTTTAGGGATCTATGACTATTTTTTATGAGCCATTTATTTCATAAAATATAATCAGAAGAAAGAAATGTTAGAGCTCAAATTCTACTAAAAATTGCAAAATACGCAAATGTCAGCCTCAATTTGTGCAACATCCTTTGCATATTATTAGAGATAATATTCATGGGAAATATAAATATACCATAATAATGTAGATTTTTTCTGTTTAGCAATCAGACATATGAGATATGTCATTTCTTATGACAGAGAAATCTAATTTCACAGCCAGTTTGAAAATCCTGCTGTTTCACCAGAGCTTACAGAGATACGAGAATGAGTGGAGTAAACCCTTATTGTAGAACAACTATGAAATCTGTAATTTCAAGATCCTACATAGGAAACATATTGCTATCGTTATTTTTTTTAAATGAATGGAGTTTCTATGGTGCTGAATTTTCTAAAACTTGTAAGATACTATAGTTGATCTTACATATATGCAGTGGTTAATTCCTTTTGCCACAGAGGATCATAAAATCACTCAGGATTAAAACATATTTATTCAGTACATGGCTTCAAACAGATAAAAGAAAAATTGGGTGGAAGAGGTAGATATGAGCTGAATTACACTGACGTTTTAAGAAACTTGGAAATTAAAACTGCAACCTTTTATATTCAAAAATTGGGAGTTTGAAACATTTTCTTAAATTTATTTATTCTGAACAAACAAAATTTTGCAGTAAGTAGGGTTGTTTTCTTAAAGGTACAAAAGACAATTGTCCTCAAATTCTACAAAATAAGAATTAAAAAATATGGATCTTTGATATTTTGCTTTTTACTGACTTGAAAGTGGGCATTTAATGTATAAAACTAGGAAATTGACATGTTTGAATGGTCAGTTTTTATATTTATCTACTAGCTTGAAAATCATGTTAATTACATTCCTAATGGACCTAACTTAAATATTTGTGATGTAGTAAAGATAACACAGTGCAAGGGTGTGTAATATTCGGCATTTTATAGATACTCAAACTGATAAGTATTTAAAATACAAAAGCATAATCTAATTTCTAACAAGGTTGACATGGATAGCTACTTCTTAAAACTCAGAACTTAAAAGGAAGTATTTATAATGCTAAAAGCCTATGAAACTTAGGTTTAAAGTACCTTTAAAAACACTAAACATATTCTCTGTTTTTTATTCATTTGTCAGTACAAATATCAGTAAATAGTCAAAATGTAACCTTAGTTTATGAGAGAGGTGTCTCCAATGTGACTTGACTAAAATTATTTTAGGTGTAATACCAGCAATTGTGTTTAAGGTTAAGGTTTCTAAGACATATACCCATGATACAGAAATTAAAGAAGTACAACAAGTAACCAAAGACATTATATGAAATATCATTTCTACATATAAAGTGATAAAAAAATAGTAGAGTTTCAAAGTTTGAGATCTTAGATTTAAGTTTTTAATCCATTTTGATTTTACTTTTTCATATAGATATCCAGTTTTCCCAGCATCATTTACTGAGGAGACAGTCCTTTCCCCAATATATGTCCTTGGCACTTTAGTTGAAAATGGGTGCACTGTAAATGTATGGATTTCTTGTTTCTAGGTTCTTTATTCTGTTACACTGGTCTGTGTGTCTGTTTTTATGCCTGTGCCATGCTGTTTTAGCTACTATAGCTTTGTAGAATAATTTGAAATTAGGTAATGTGATTCCTTCAGTTTTGTTCTTTTTGCTTGGGATAGCTTTGGATATTCTGGGTCTTCTGTTATTTCATATAATGTTTTTTGTTTGTTTGTTTGTTTTGTTTTGTTTTTTTTTGAGTTGGAGTCTCACTCTGTCACCCAGGCTGGAGTGCAGTGGAATGGTCTCGGCTCACTGCAACCTCCATCTCTTGGGTTCAAGAAATTCTTCTGCCTCAGCCTCTTGAGTAGTTGCAACAACAGGCATGTGCCACTGCGCTCAGCTAATTTTTGTATTTTTAGTAGAGTCAGGGTTTCATCATGTTGGCCAGGCTGCTCTCAAACTCCTGACCTCTGGTGATCTGCCCACCTCAGCCTCCCAAAGTGCTGGGATTACTGGAGTGAACCACAACTCCTGGACTGATTTCTTATAAATTTTATGATGGTTGTTTTTTTTTACTTCCATGAAGAATGTCATTGCTATTTTGACAGGGATTGCATTGAATCTCTACATTGCTTTGGGTAGTATGGATATTCTAACAATATTAATTATTCCAACCCATGAACATGGAATATCTTTCCATTTCTTTCTGTTATCTTCAGTTTCTTTCTCAATATTTTATAGTTTTCATTGTAGAGAACTTTCACTTTTTTGGTTAATTCAGAGGTATATAATTTTATTTGTAGCTATTGAAAATGAGATTATTTTCTTGATGTTTTTTCAAATTGTTCACTGATATCATATATATATATTGCTTATTTTTGTATGTTGATTTTGTAACCTGCAACATTACTAAATTTGTTTTTAAATTCTAATAATTTTTGGTAGAGTCTTTAGGTTTTACCAAATATAAAATTATATCATCTGCCAACAAGGATAATTTGGCTTCTTCCTTTCCAATATCTTTCTTTTGTCTATGTTGATGAAAGTCAGCATACTTGTTATGTTCTAGATCATAGAGGAAAAAGCTTTCAGTTTTTCTCCATTCAGTATGATACTGGCTGTGGGTATGTTGTTTATGGCTTTTATTGTGCTCAGGTATGTTTCTTCTCTACCCAGTTTTTTGAGGGTTTTTATCATAAAGGATGTTGAATTTTATCAAATGCCTTTTCAGTATCAATTAAAATGATCATAAGTTTTTGGTCTTTTATTCTATACATATGATATATCACATTAAATGATTTACATATATTGAACCATCCTTGAATCCCAGGGATAAATCCCACTTCATCATGATGAGGGATCCTTTTAATGTGTTTTTGAATTCATTTTACCATTGTTTTGCTGAGGATTTCTGCATCAATGTTCATGAGGTATATGGCCTGTAGTTCTCTCTTTTTTGATGTGCCACTGTCTGGTTATGGGATTAGGGTAATACTGGCCTCATAGAATGAGTTTGGAAGTATTCCTTTCTCTTTGATTTTTCAGAATAGTCTGAGTCAAATTGGTGTTAGTTCTTTTTTAAATGTTCAGTAAAATTCTGCAGTAAAGCCATTGGGTTCTGGGATTTTCTTTGCTGAGAGGCTTTTTATTATGGCCTTAATTTTGTTATTTTTTATTGATCTTTTAGTTTTGAAATTTCTCATGATTCAATCTTGGCAGGTTGTATGTGTCTAGAAATTTATCCTTTTTTATCTAGATTTTCCAATTTATTGGATTATAGTTGCTCATATTAGCCCCTAGCACTGCTTTGCACTTCTATGGTATTGGTTTTAATGTCTACTTTTTCAGCTCTGATTTTATTTATTTGAGTCTTCTCTCTGTTTCTTAGACTGGCTAAAGGTTTGTCAATTTTATTTATCTTTTCAAAAATCTCCAACTTTTTGTTTCATTGATCTTCTGTATTGTTTTCTTCATTGAAATTTGGTTTCTTTCTGCTCTGTTTTTTTATTATTTCTTCTACTAATTTTGGGTTGTTTTTTTTTTGGCTTTTCTAGTTCCTTAAAATGCATCATTAGCTTATTTGAATTTTTCTTCATTTCTGATGTAGGCTTTTATAGCTATAAACTTTCCTCTTAGTATTGCTTTCACTGTATCCCATAGATTTTGGTATTTTTTTCATTATCATTTGTTTCAAGAAATTTATAAATTGAATTCTTAATTTTTTCTTGAAAGTTCTTGATCCACTGATCATTCAGGAGCATATTCTTTAATTGCCATGTATTTATATAGTTTCCCAAATTCCTCGTTATTGACTTTAAGTTTTATTTCATTGTGGTCAGAGAATATACTTGATATTATTTCAATTTTTTTTCAATGTCTTAAGACTTGTTTTGTGCCCTGACATGTGGTCTATCATTGAGAAGATCCATGCATGGAGAAGAATGTGCATCCTGCAGCCACTGGATGAAATGTTCTGTGAACATCTATTAGGTCCATTTGGTCTAGATTAAGTCTACTGTTTCTTTGCTGATTATGTATCTGGATGATCTGTCCAATGCTGAAAGTAGAATGTTGAAGTCTCCAGATATTATTGCATTTGGGCCTATCTCTCCTTTCAGCTCTAATAAAATTTGCTTTATATAACCGGTTGTTCCAGTGTTGGGTAAATATACTTAAAATTGTTATATGCTTTTGCTGAGTTGAACCCTTTATCATTATATAATGGCCTTCTCTGTCTCTTTTTATAGTTTTTGTCCTAAATATATTTTGCTCCATATAAATATAGCTACTCCTGCTCTCTTTCCATTGGCATGGAATATCTTTTTCCATCCCTTTATTTTCAGTGTACATGTGTCTTTACAGGAGAAATGTGTTTCTTGTAGGCCACAGATCATTGAGTCATGTTTCTTTATCAATTCACCTACTCTGGATATCTTGACTGGAGAGTTTAATCCATTTACATTCAATGTTATTATTGATAAATAAGAATTTATGCCAGCCATTTTGTTATTTGTTTTCTGGTCTTCTCTTTCTCTTTTCCTTCCTTCCTGTCTTCCTTTAACTGAAGGATATTTTCTCTACTCATATATTTTAATTTCTTGCTTTTTATTTTTTGTGTATCTGTTGTATGTTTTTTTGATTTGAAGTTACCATAAAGATTGCAAAACTGATTGCAATTTAACACTGATTGCATAAACAAAGTAACAACAAAACACAGCAAAAATGAATAAAAATTCAACACTTGAACTTTGTTCCCCCTCTTTTTAACCTTTTGTGTTTCTATTTATATCTTATTGTGCTATGTCTTGAAAAGTTGGTGTAGTTATTATTTCTGATTGGTTCATCTTTTAGTCTTTCTACTCAAGAAATGAGTAGTTTACACACCGCAATACAATACAAGACATAACCATCTTATTGTGTGTGTATGCAACAACAGAGCTTAAATAAATAAAGCAAAACCTGCCGAAACAGGAAGGATATATAAACATATTCACAATTACAATGGAAGATTTCAGGACACTTCTCTGATAAAAATATAGACAGAAAAATACGTGAGGATATAGAAAACTTGATCACTCGCAAACTAATGGGCCTAGTTCACATTAATAGAACATTCCACAAAACATCAGTAGAATACAAGGTGCTTTACAAATGCACAGTGATGGAATATTTACCTAAACATACGAGTAAATTTACATGGAGAAACAGTATGCCTATAACCACAAATAAATTATCTTAGAAAACAGTTTTATAAAAACATATAGAAAATTTACAAATATTTAAAGACAAAATAATTCAGGTCTACATAACCAATGGGCTAAAGATATGTTAGAAACTATTTAGAACTACAGGTAAGGGGAACGAGGGCATGGAATGAAGAAGTGTGCGCTGATTTGTCTGTGGATAGCCTTGGTAAAAGAACCATTCAGAAAAAGGCATGAGAGTATAGAGGACCAGTGAGGGGCTGAAGTGAAAACTTGGCCCAAGGACCTTGGCCCAGGACCAAACAGGGGCTGAACTGAAGGCTTCGCCCAAGATCTTGGCTCAGGACCAATTTAGGGCTGAAATGAAACCTTGGCCTGAGACTTTGGCCTGGGACCAGTCGGGAGGAAGCACATGAAATGAGACAAAGGAGTGCCAAGGAGAGAGAAATGTGTCCAAACAAGGAGTGGAATTTGTACATCTGGGTCCACAGAGTAGGCATTTCCATTCAAGAACACAGGCTCTTTCTTATCTGGGGCCTGCATCTCTATTTTCAGGTTGTTGGTTTGAAGGAGTTTTACCGAGGACCCACCCTAACTGCCTGGATGACTGGTTTCTTTCTTTCTCCTCTCTCATTTTCTGCTGTTGTTAGATAGTCTAGAGATGTCAATTACATCTAGTTCACTGATGGTATTGTTGAATCGAAGTATGTCCTTCCTAATTTTCTGCCCACTAGATTTGTCCATTTCTGATGGACAGATGTTGAAATCTTAAATTATAGTAGTGGATTCAGCTGTTTTTTATTGCAGTTCTGAAGGTTTTTGCCTTATGTATTTTGACACTCTGTTATTAGGCACAGACATGTTAAGAATTATCATGTCTTCTTATAGAATTGATCCCTTTATCATTATGTAATGTCCCTCTTTATCCCTGACAATTTTTCTTCCTTCAAAGTCTGCATTGTCTAAAATTGCTATAGCTACTGTCACTTTATTTTGATTATTAGCATGAAATATCTTTCTCCATCCATTGACTTTTAATCTATATGTACCCTCAAAGTAGTTTTTCTTATAAACACCATGTATTTGGGTCTTTTTTTAATCCATTTTAATAATCTCTGTCTTTTAACTGGTCTACTTGTAGACTATTGACATTAAATTGATTATTGATATAATTGGATTAATATCTACAATATTTGTTGCTGTTTACTATTTGTTGATATTCTTTTTGGTTTAAAGATAATTAATATTACTATATTGATAAAACAGATCTAAAGCATATGAACAAAGTGGAACAGATACTTCAGGACAGGAAGAGTCCACAGGTTTTATTCAGGTTGCAGTGATGCTGCAATTGTTTCTTAGGCTAGCTTGAGTCCTCTGCCTTAGGAGCTTTTCTAACCACATACTCAACCATACTGTAAACCTTTCTTCCAAGCCCAACTTTATTAAGACTGTCCTCACAGGAAGAATTTCAAAATTAGTATGGAAACACTTCCCAGAAATTTTTTGATCATAGGCATAATGTTTAGTATAGCACATTTGTACAAAATGCTCCAGTTTATCAGTCTTGGTTTTTTGTATTCTACTCCAAATCTTCTTCAATTACATTGACTTCTTGCATTGTAACAACAGTTTACTTGTTTGTGTTTTACTTAAATCCTTTTTCCTAGGGCCAACTGCAGCCTATTCATGTCTAATTGGTTTGGATCTCTTAATGTCAAACTAAATTTCTTATTTTTACTTTAATTTTTGCCTTCCGTCTTTACTTCTGCTTTGGAACATCTAAACTAGGAAAATGTCCTTTCTTAAATACTTACCATCAATGCCTCTCGCCATCTATGAACTGCTAGGACACTGGATAAATAAATACCAGTCTCATTACTGGAATGCCTCACCTGGAAGTTATGCATAATGTACCCTGGATATTTAAATTATTAATATTAATTTTAGTACATAGAAATGAGCATATGAATAATGAGAAAATTACAAAGCTGGAGAAAGTAGTTTATTCAAATCCAAGGCCATTTATAATGAGCAAAGGGTATGAAGAAAACATATTAATTTTAATAGTTTTTTTACTTCCAGGAATAAAATTAAATAAGGAGGTCAGTGAGACACTTGTAATTACAACAAACATTCAGCTTCAGGAAAAGTGTACACTGAAGTGAAATTAATGGCTCTGTAAGGATTTTAGACTGCTAAAATGGGCGATTAACAAAAGGCTTGCAAATATACTTCCTTCTTCTATTTGAAAGTTTAAAAACAAATAGCAAAACACTTAAGTACTGGTACTAACAATTTAAAATTACTTTATATTTTAGTAAATATTACAAAGTAAAATTCCCAAGATTTTTTCTTGCAGCTAAATTTAAGCACTAATATGAGTGAATAATCTAATATTTGAAAATTACATGCATTCGAGGTAATTTTGCAATGTATAAGCATGAGTTCATCTAGATGTATCAAATTTTTAAAACTTACAAAATTGTTGGATTAAATATGTAAGAACAAAAGGTACATGGAAGTGTCATAAATAGAAATCCATTTAATAACATGTATCAGTGGAAAAGAAAACACAGCTGAATAACAACTAACCAAATAAAGGGCACTGGTCTAAATATTTCTAAAAATAAAAAATAAAATGAGTTCTGAGGGTTCTTAGTGCCCAACACACAGTCCCTTATGAAAACTAAAATACAAAAAATCAGCTCAAGTTTAAGTTGAATCAAATAAGCAGGGTTTTGTTTTGTTTTGTTTTGTTTTGTTTTGTTTTTTCACTAACCCACCTGATGGGCAACACAGAACATGTTAATTACCCAGTCAAGAATTTTATTTTCTTCCAGGAAATAAATTTATATTTGGTTATCCACGTTATGGTAGCTTAGGTATTTGTTGTACCATTTCATTCAGACACACACATATTAGCCTCACTCTACACAAAACCTGAGGCTACAGTACTAACAGGTCCAAGTTGGAAACCCAATCTTAAGCTAAAAGTATACTAGAAATCTGGCCTGTGCTCTTACCATAAATACTGCCATTCCAATTAGGGATAACAATGAGAGGCCTCCACAAAATATGTTTTGTTGCCTGCATTTTTTTCCTTAGAAATACCAAAAAAACCCCAGGATGACTTTGTGTTGGGTGAGTTGTGTCCAGAAACATATATTGAAATCCTAACCCTCAGCACTTGGGAACGTGATCTTATTTGGAAATCAGGTCTTTGCAGAAGCAATCAAGTTAAGATGAGGTCATACTAGATTAATGTGGGCCCCAAATCCAGTGATCCTTATAAAAAGAGAGAAACATAGAGACACAGACATACAAAGGGAAGACAACCACATGAAGACAAAGGCAGCTATAAGCCAAGGAATGCAGCGATTACCACCAACACCAAAAGCTAGGAAGAGTAAAGAAAGGATTTTTCCAAGAAACTTCAGAGAAACAAGAACCTGCTGACAGCTTGATTTTGGACTTATGGCCTCCAGAAAAATAAATATCTTGTTTTAAGACATCCTATTTGTAGTAATTTATTATGGCAGCCCAAAGAAACTAATAAAGTTTCACTTTACTACACTTGGAAAAGACGTCTTTGTACTTCTTTGTATTTTCACAGAAAATATGATTAGGTCAGAACTTTACTGGTCTTTTGAAGTGAGAAAGATGATACATCATTTTCTTGCACGTTTAATGTAGTGGAAAGCTTGTGGGACCAGGAATTTGACAACCTACATTTGATAAATCTGAGTTTGAGTGACAACTTGGGCACTTTGTAATTTTTTTACCTTTGACATCATTAGGTTTCAGTTTCTTTACATACGAGATTGAATTAATAAAGTTTAGGTTATAGAACTGTAACCATTATTTGGGATAATATAAGCTGCATAACTGGTTCTTCTCTCTTACCTTGTTTTGCCTTGAATCAGTTACCTTCTCTATTAAAGCATACAGCTTTCCAGATAAGTATACTGGAGATTAATGGCAATGAGGCAGAATTCAATGTTGATTTACAGGATAGAATAGATTGGCAAAATCATTTCACCTTTGCTTTCTTGTTCCCTAGGCTCTGCTCTAGTTCAATTTAAAGTTCAATTGAGGAGTCTTGTTCTTATCTTTAATTATTGAGGGAAAACGTATCCCTTAATTACTTTAACAATTTATTCTCATTTAGCCTTTTTATAGCCTTTGGGTAAAAGTACAAGAACCAATATTTCTCTAAATTCTAAAAAGAATATATAAGTTAAAAAATGGCAGTACTTTTCACTTAATGTAAAACATACATTATAAAAATTTCAATTATGTCAATATTTTGAAAAGTCTCAAAAATGGCTAAGAATTGAAAAAAATGCCTAAAAACATATAGTTGTTAATATATATTCATTTTAATCTAAATTTTTTGTCTAATTTAATTTCATATAGAAATTCTTTCTTTGACAGAAATGCTGTTAAATGTAGCTAATATAAGTACCACAGACTAATTTTATGTGAGCATGTGTATGCAGATATAGGTATGTATGTTTTCCCCAGAGGAATTTGAGAAATTTCTACTCATGCTTTTCCTGTCTTAACTATTACAGTTAAAGTAAGTAGAGCAGATTTAAGTAACAGTAATGCATGATTGGGAATGTTTCACAATTAGTTATTTATTAAAGCAAGAAGAAATGAAAGGAAAGCTTTGAGAGCAGATAAAATAATATAGTCCATGTATAAAAAGGTATTTTCACACTTCAAACACTGATTTTATAGTATTCATAGAAAATATGTATAAAATAATTTTAATAAATTTATTTAATACTGATTATGGGTGTTACATTAATATACCAGTAATAATAATCATTGAGAATAGTGCATATCTTTTACATACAGCTGAGAGCACAGCATGTAAGTATTAAACTCAATGAATGTTCACAAAGGAAATATATCTATATAACCAGCAATAAGGTAATGAAATATATTCTACTGAGAAAGAGCATTTAAACAAATAAGATGAAATAGGTTTTACGAGAACCTTAAAATCCCCAACATACCCTCTTCCTTTCATTACCTCCATGGAAGGTAATTACTGTCATGGCTTTTTTTCTGTTTTTAAAGACAAATATGAATGTAAATGAAGTCAGAAGGTATGTATTTATGGTGTCCAGCTTCTTTTACTCAATCTTATATTTGTGAGTTTTATCATGGCTATTGTAATAAAAACTATTTGTTCTTATTGCTGTATAATATCCAATTGTATAAATGCAACACTACCTATTCAACTGTTACTGCATTTCCAGTTTTTGTCCATTATGAATAGTGCTATTATAAGTGTTCTTGTTATTGGTGAACATGCATATGCAATTCTGTTAGGTAACATCTATATGTCTGATTTTAGCAATAGCTACACAAGACTTCTCTTGGGTAGTGTTTGCATAATGTACTCTTTCAATACATTTTATTTCTGTGTTATTATATTTAAGATGTGTTTCCACTAAGCAGTTTATAGTTGAGCTTTTAAAAGGCTGTCTTAAAATCTTAGTCTTTCTATTTGAATTTTTCGTCTAACATTTGTATTTATGTGATTACTTTCATATTTGGGTTTCTGTCTACTAGTTTATACTTTGCTTGAATAGTTTTTCTTTCCTTATTTTGGAATATTCAACTTGTGAATGTATTGTCCATCTATTAGCCTACCAGTTAAATATTATTTTTAGCATCTATTAAAATTATTTCAGAGTTTAACATTCACCCTTCATTTTTACCGTATAATCAAAAATATAATTTTTAATTACTTCCCTGCAAAGATAGGACATTAAACATGATAACTCTATATAACAACCTCTCTTACTATCATGTTACTGTTGTCATGCATTTTAACTCAAAGTATAATTTTAATTTAAAAGTTTAGTTATTTATAGTCAATGTTCATTTATACTTACCTACGTATTTGCCTTTTTATTACTCTTGATAATTTGCTGCATATATATAGTTCTGCCAGTTATATTTTTGTTTAGTCTAAATAAATTTAACAATGTTTGGTGTAGATATGTTACAACGTGCCTATATTTGTTTATTTGCAAATACTTTAACATACATTATTGAAGGATATTTTAACTCAGTAGAGAAATCTAGATATGTTTTCTTTTTAGGGCTTTATAGATTTCATTATTCTTATACTTAGTGTTTATGTTAAAATGGCAATCTAATTCCTGCAGCTATAAAGGTAACTTTACTTCTTCTGGCTGCTTTTAGTGTATTCTCTTTTGCTTTGATTTTCCTTTTAGCTTTCTCAAGAAAGGATCACCTTTTTCCTTTGTTCAGAACATAGTATGGGTGTTAATCACCTTAATTCCATTCAAGAGTCTGAAGCTACTCAAGTCTGGATTGTAAATTTTTGCCTTGGTGTGTCTACATCTGTTTTACCCCTAAAGCCAGGCCCTCCTAGTTTTAGCTCAGAATGTGGCATAGTCAATCACAGGGTTTCTCACTAGTTAAGTCCAAAATTCTAATCCTTAATATTTTCCATAGTATAGAGTTCATGCTCCCATGCTCCGTTTCTCCCTTCTTATAGGATAACCTGATGCTTCAATCTCTTATGTTTCTCTGAAATGGGAAAGATCTCTTACCCCTCTCACAGGGTGTGCAACCGTGGTATGGCTCGCTTCTTCAGTGCTCCTCTGCTCAAATCCCTAGGGGAAGCATGCAGATGGGCAGGTTGCGAGGCTCTGACCCCATGGCAGTGTCTAGGGGTAAATGTTTTCAGTTCCCGAGGCCCCAGTGAGCATGTGTTACCATGTACTTTTTTAGTTTAGCCATCTGCAGGCGACTTGTGTTTATCAGCTCAGTTAGACCCCTGCCTTATCACAAGGACAGAAGGCTTTCTGTACCTGGAATTACTTGCCTTGGTGTCCCGAAAGAACCAGATCACATGTGGGCTTGGAGAATGAGTGCAAGGTTTTATTGAGTGGAGGTAGCTCTCAGTAGATGGGGGATGGAGTGGGAATGTTGTTTTCTTCTGGAGTCAAGCTGCTGAGTGGCTGGGATCTCCTTCGACCACCCCAGCCAAATTCTGTGTCATTCCACTGGTAGATGGCCTGTCAGCGTCTGCTGGTGCCTGTCACTTGTATCTTTCACTGAAGTATTCCTCTCGACGTCCAGCCATTTGTGTCCATGCCTGCTAGGGTCTCGGGGTTTTTATAGGCACAGGATGAGGGCATGGCAGGCCAGGGTGGTCTTGACAAATGCAACATTTGGGCACGAAGACAGGAGTGTCTGTCCTCACCTAGGTCCATGGGCACAGGCCAGGGGGTGGAGCCCTAGCCAGGGACCTCGCCCTTCTCTACCCAGCACTTCCCTGCCTCACTTCAGTATCATCTCTATTACTGTGAACCTGCAGAATCTACACAGGTACCTTATATTTTAATAGTTGCCATGTGCTATGTCTTTTCCTTGCATCTTTAGTCTTTTGCCCTTACTCCAAAACTAGCATGCATGTGCATGTGTTCCTGCATGTGT
Organism: Homo sapiens; assembly: GCF_000001405.40. Taxonomy (NCBI): domain Eukaryota; kingdom Metazoa; phylum Chordata; class Mammalia; order Primates; family Hominidae; genus Homo; species Homo sapiens. Next base: position 30,161,053 of record NC_000009.12, read on the forward strand.
GTGTGTGCATACACGCACATAATATAATACAGCTTCACAATGTAAATTCTCTTCTCCTTGACATCTCCCTTCTTTTGGGTTGTGTTTCCTTAAGTTTTAGTGCTTCAAGTGCTTTCTATGCCTTTAAATAATTTAAAACATTTTGTATTTCTGTTATTTTGAATATTTTACAGCAGGAGCATTGGTCAGTCCCAAGCTTTTTTGTCATTTCCACGAGTAAGAATCACATGGAGAGCTGATTTAAAGTCACACATTTTTTGTCGGGGGAGAAAGGTGAGCAGTGTTGATTTTGACAGCAGAGTGACAGATGTATAGAAAAACAGATGAAGTAAAGTAACTAAAAGAGCTATATATTTGTATTTATTGGGGTTTCTTGACCTCAAATCTTCTGATTGATTTAAAGTTGATCATTGTGGTGTTCCATGAAGTATAAAAGGCCTCCAAAGAGGTAATAGTAGTGTCC